>NC_000006.12:119919274-120222305 GCF_000001405.40 Homo sapiens | reverse complement strand
TGTACTAATTCAATTAGGAAAGGAAGCAAGAACAAAGGCAGAATCACTGAACTATATAATATACACTAAGTGCATTAAAAGCATTTTATAAATTATTTCAAATAGCTTAGACTCACAATTTACTTATATGATGTACATGAAACTATGTCATTTTATCCTTCAGTCTCATTTAATGAAAACTAGAAGATGAAATTTTCTAATCAACACTTGAAAGGATAATCAAATAATCATCATCCTTGAGTTGAGTGAAATTAAGGAAGAAATAAGAACCAGATAAAATGAGACATTTTCCATATTCCATCTTCAGCACATTTCTCCACATTTCCATTCTCCTAAGTAAAGCCAAAGTAGGCATGGTTTTACAATGCATATGTGTAGTGTTTTTCTGTCATTTGTTTTTTAACCAAGGACCATGCTTAGATTTACTCATATTTGAGGTCTAAATTTGTAAGGAGCACAGGAAAATATTAATCAGGTACTTGGAAAGCTTATTTGACTTAGCCATGGTTCATCATGATCTATATGAAATAAGAAAGTACAGATTATTCTGTTTGACTTGGCAGTGCAAGTAGAGCATTCTCAAAAGAGTTTTAGAAAGATTCATAAATATTTCCCATTGAGGTACACCGCTAAATAACAACACCCCATTTATTGAAGGCTTACTCATTCTGTCAAGAAATTCTAACCAAAAAACATGTATTATTTCATGGAATTTTTACAAAACAATATAACACAATAGGTATTATTTTCAGAAATGGAAACAGAAGTTTAGAACAATTAAGTAATCACTCATGATCGCACTGCTTATTAGTTTTGGAGCTGGAATGTAAACTGAGTGTCGTTGAACTCAACTTGTGTAATAATAAACAATGAACTACTTGCCCCATCAGTAATGGAAAATATGTTTAAAAATCTATTTAGCTAAATAGTAGGAGGTGGTGGAAGAAAAGATACAATTTGTATCTTCACAATTCATTTGAAGGAAAAACACGTACATGTATAAGTGTTTGCTACTTAGAGAAATAAAAAATATTTTCATACAGAGAACAACATGAGAAAACAAGCCATGCTAATATAATTTAGAATTGTTGTTTATAATGGAAAACATAATTAATAATCACATTATAATATAGTCATGTGCTCCATAACATTTCAGTCATCAACAGACCATATATACAGTAGCGGTTCCATAAGATGATAATACCAAATTTGTACTATATTTTTTCTAGGTTTAGGTACACAAATTCTTACCAGTGTGTTACAGTTACCTATAGTATTCAGTAAAGTAGTAATGTAAACATGTTTGTAGCCTCAGGGCAATAGTCTATACCATATAGCCTAAGTGTGTAGTAGTCTGCACCATCTAGTTTTGTGTAAGTGCACTCTATGATGTTTGCACAGTAAGGAAATCACCTAATGGCACATTTCTCAGAATATACCCTTGTCATTAAGCAAATGTTTGATGGTACATCATATTCAAATAGAATTTACTCTGAAAAGAGGATACTTCAAAATAAAGAAAACAATTTCTAAATATTATTCATCACACCAATAAAAATAAACATATTCCTCAATAGTTACAGAAAATATATGATTAAATATAAACCAAGTATAGCTCTAATTTTAAAAGTATAATAAAAGATATATTCTTAGCCTAGTAAATATTATTACATTAGTAATTAAGCAAGTACATCTTTTCTCTATTGGAGCTGGAGATGCAACATTAAAACAAATTTAATTGAGATAAAATCTGCAGTGAAGAAATTCAGGGAAACATAGATAGCATACTCTTGTTTGATCTGATCAAAAAAAGCTGTTTGAAGCTAAATAAGGGACAGGAATAAGTTCTATAAAGAGGGGAGAAGTGAGTACACTAGGGGGATGGACCATCACTCCCAAAGGACCTGAGGTAGATAAGATTATGATATATTCAAGGACTCAAAAAGTCCAGTGTGTTTGGGAAATAATGAGAAAAGTAGTGTGACAGGAGAAGATACCAGAAGATTTAAGACTTACATTCTAAGGGCAATGGAAGATCATTTGAACTTTTTACTCATTAAAGAGATGTTTTAACTCATTCATTCTTTCTTCCAGTTATGCAACAATTATTATTAAGCACCTACTGTGGACCAGACTGCTCTACATATTGTGATTTGGAAAGGAACACAATGAAGGAAGCTCTGTTCCCAATGAGCTTATGTTGTTATAGAGGAAGACAATTGACGAACCAAATTACAAGTTAATACATAAATATGAGGAAGCCATATGTACTATTTAAAAAGATAACAACAGTTAGGGGATAGAAAAAAAAACTACTCAAACTTGAATTTTGACAAAAGTCATCTATGGGTCTTGTTAAGATGTAGATTCTGATTCAGTAGCTCCAAAGTGAAGATTGAGATCCTTATCTCTGATAGCTTCCCAGGGATATACAAATGCTGGACTGTTTATCACACTTAGAGTAGCAGGGAGACAGAGAATAAGGAGTTATTTGTTTAGGAAAGGGTCTTCTGACAAATTATATTTAAATAGAGTCACCAGTAGAGACCTAACAATAGATCCCTCAAAATAAAGATAAAGAGACAGTTCTACAATAATAGTTGGAGACATCAATATCACAGGGCTTTTTTTTTTTAAATGTAAGTAGGTACCATCAAACAATATTGCACTTTTAATAATGAATAGAATGACAAGTCAAAAGATTAATAAGAAAATGAGGACTTGAGCAACACTATCAGCCAACTGAACCTAGCAGGTATGTACAGAATACTACACCTAATAACAGCAGAAGACACATGGTTCTCAAGAGCAGATGGAACATTTTCCAGAATAGACTATACGTTCAGGCACAAAATAAGTCTTAAAAAATTCAGAAATATTGAAATCATACACAGAATGTTTTCAGGCAACAATGGAATGAAGCTAGAAATCAATGACATAAGGAAAACTGGAAAACTCACAGATATGTAGAAATTAAACAACACACTCTAAAAACCCAATAGGTCAAAGAAGAAATCACAAGGAAAATTAAAAAATACTTTTAGATGAATTATAATAAAATGAAACACACTAAAATACATAGGATTCATTGAAAGTAGTAGTGAGAGGGAAATGTATAGCTGTGTATGCCTACATTAAAAATAACATCTCGAATAAACTAATTGTACACTTTAAATAATTAGCAAAAGATAAGTCAACTGAACCCTTAGCCAGTAGAAGGAAGAAAATAATAAATATTCTAAAAGAGATAAATCAAATAGAGAATAAAAATAATCATTAAATTCCATCAGCATCAAAAACAATAAATAATTAACCCTAGGAGAAAAATGTTGAGGTTGTCATATGAAAAAAGTCAAGTGGCAAGGTTTTGAGCTAAGTATGGAGCTCAAGTGAAAATAATTCACTTACCCTGAATCATTTTGTTTATGTGAAACAGGTATTGTGATATAAAAATTTTGAAGAAGAAAACATAATTTAAAAAAACTAATTGGCTCTGTAGTAAACAATGCTTATAGATGTGATTTGATTTTCAGTTATTGAAATTAACTCTTATCTAGAAGAGAAGAGGGCTGAAGATGTATGGAGAAGGGAATGACTATTGTCAACTCTTCCATAGTATTAAATTTTTTTCAAAAAAATTAAATGATTTAGAAAATTAATAAAAAAACAATTTTTCAGTAAGTAAAGGAAAAATGTTATCTCAAGACAGTGTCCAGATTATTAAGTCTCTGGGTAGAACAGATTGTCACTGACTTCTTGATGCAGTGAGTCAGTAACTAGACAGTGCCTCAAATGGGAAAAACTATATATGTCAAAGGCTTAAAGCCTTGTGACTATAATTAGGACACTCAATAATTTCCTTTCCTCAAAGATTAGACAATCAATCAGCCCGTGGGCCAGCCATCTTGGATAAGCCATTCCTCATTTTGATTTCATATTGTTTTTGAAGTCATGATCAATGAAGCACTTTATCAAATGAAACTAAGAAGAGCAAATATTAGAATTAATAAGACTATACAATCATTATTTTTAGATGGCATGATATATACCTAGAAAAGTGAAAGAAATTAGAATTGATAAATTAGTGTAATAAAATAGGATGAATACAAGTACTATATCAAATTCAAAAACATTATTTCATAACAGCTTCATCTAGCTAATAGATACATGATAAAGATATCATCTGAAACAAATATATATGAATCTATAGAAAGAAATAATCTATAGTGCCAAACTTTTTGAAACAATTGCCTACCTGTACTTTCTCAACTTTTACATTCTTTTAGTCTAGCCCCCATTGACATCTAATTCCTTTTTCGTATCAAAATCCAAATGTACATTTCTCATGGATTATTTTACTTAACCTTTGAGCTAAGCACATGCCTGTTTTTGAAGAAGTCTATTTTTATTGCTATTAAATCACACATTCTAAGACTTTCAGCTACTTTGATCTTTCTCCATGTATTTGCTTTCTATTCTTCACCTACTCTGCTTTAAATATTTAACTTAACAGGGTTCAGTTCTTAGCTTCTTTTCCTCATCACTCTACAAATTCTTTCCTGCCCTTCCATTACATAAGTTTCCATGTTCTAGATAATTGCCAAAATACTAACTCCAGCCTATAACACTCATCTAGAGTTTAGGAAAACTCCATGTGAATATTTCTCATATATCCTAAATGCCACATTTCTCACGTAGTGTTTATAATCTTTCCAACTTCATGTATCAGTGCATGGCTCCAGCATCAATCCACTGTGCAAATCAGAATTCTGAGTGTGAGATCTGATTCATCATTCTCTTTTGCCTCACTTACCTATTGTTCTAAATATTCTAAATAATTCCTAAGTTAATCCTAAATATTTCTTAAATAAATCATTGTACCTAAAATGTACCTAAAACTTATCTATTCTTATATTCATGTCTACTATTCTGGCTACATCTACCAGTATCTTTCACATGGATTATTGCTGTAGACTCCAAACTGTTTCCTCCCACTTCATTTTTGATCTCCTTTAATACATTTTATACAAGCAACAACAGCCACCCTTTAATATGTTAATCTTACAGTCTTATGTTCCCACATAAAACATTTAAATGGCTTATCATCTCTCCTTAAAATAAAGTCTAAACTTAAACTAGCTGCTAACACTTTCTGGTCCACTAATTTTCTGGTCCATGGTCTGGTCTGCTTATTTTCTACTTTAGCATTATTTCTCAATATATCTCAATATATCAATATATATCAATATATCTCTTAGAGTTAGCAAATCAGCCACACTTAGTTTCTTTCAATTCCTTGAAACTGCCATATAAATTTTCTCCTGGGTTTGGTCATGCTGTTTCCTATCTTAGAATACTCTTTCCTATACCATATACTGCTTTGATAGTTATTCTTATACATTCTTTAGGTCTCAGTTTAAATTCTGCTTCATTGACTATCTCAAACTGAATTTTACCTTCTTGCCATGTATTTCTGTGACATACCTTACTTTTCAAAATTACCTATATTATAATTGTATCTCTGCAAACTTGTATCTCTGCAAACTCTGTAAATTCTTAAATTGGCAAGAGTTGTGTCTACTTTGTTCATTTTTGTCTGGCTAGCTCACAACAAACAAGGCACTTATGCACTCAGCCTTGCTTCCTGCTTCATAAAGGCATAATTCTCTCAATTTCTCCAGCTTTTACCTATAAAGTTTGCATCTGCATTAACCTCTGACATTGTCTTCATTCTGATAAAAAAAAAAGAGTTTGTTTGCTTTATAGTGTAAGCCAACCATGTGTATCTTTGTTCTTATATTGCCTATTCACTTTCTCTCACTTATTTTCAAATTTCTCCTCTCTAGGATATATACTGCAGAGGATAAATGTTCAAATTATCTTGCTAATAAGTATATCTACCCCTGAGCTTCTATTTTCCTTGAAGTACTGCCCTCTCTTTTCTTTTAGCATGAAGGCCTTCAATAAATTTTCCAAACTTGCTGCCTCTACTTTTTTACTATTATGTTCGAAGAGAATAAATTTACTAAAATAAGCATCAAAAACTGTCTTCCCTGATTAGAAATCATTTGATGGCTTTACATTGCCTCCAAGAAAATGAAATATAGTAGAATATAAAAGCCTTCCTGTCTTACTGCTGCTTTTGTGAACATCATATGCCCTTGATTTCTTACAGAGGACAGAATTCCCAATGTGTCTTTTGAAACAAAATAAATTATTAGTAGCTTTACTGTTTCCTCCTACTTAGCTCATGCACTGGTTTGAAGAGTGCCACCTCAAAATTCATTCTACTTGAACCTCAGAATGAGAACTTATTTGAAAATAGTGTTTTGCCGAAAACAGATGTAATCAAGTTAAAATGAGAACATATTGGATTAAAGGTGGACCCTAAATCCAATGACTGGTGCCCTTATGAAATGAAGTTAATTTGGACACAGAGACATACACACAGGGAAGGTTATGTGAAGACATAGAGGAGAATCCTATGAAGACAGAGGTAAGTAATGCATTTACAAGCCAAGAAAGGCTGAGGATTCCTGGCTACTAGCAGATAATAAGAGGCAAGGAAGGACCCTAAAGTCTTCATAAAGGGCATGGTTCTGTTGACACCTAGATTGCACACTTCTAGCCTCCAGAAATATGAGAAAACAAATTTTTGTTGTTTAAGCCTTTTGATTTGTGGTAATTTATGTGGCAGCCCTAAAAAATTAATACACTAAGAATTCAGCACAATAGCTGTTGGTAGTGGCTGGTTACACAATCCAAATCTGACTGGATAATCATTTATACATTTCATTTTTTTTAACTATAGCGGATGTAGGTATTCTGCCATTCTCTACATAGTCTTAGAAACTCTTCTTTATTGTGATATAATCTAAATCCTAGGATATAGAACAAATTACATTTGGGATTGCTCATAGTCAACCATAGCTTAATAATTGCAATGAAAGTAATTGAGAATAACTGAGGTAACCGATTGAGATCTGTCTTCTTTTTGTAAACGAGTCTTCTGACATAGATTTTTTTTTTTCATTTTTAAACTTAAAGGGGTTTCCGGGAAATCATAGGAAATAGTGCCCTGAGAAAAATATTTATCTCCATTGTTGCTTGTGCTCCTTTTTCAGTCACTACTGACAAGTACTCTGCACATTCAGAGGTATTTATAAGGAAAGGGCTAGGTGGTATGTTAAATAATCTCCCCAGTCAAGGGGACCCATATTTGTCAAATCAGAGATGACTTTTGTTTCAGTTGCTACAGGACCTCAGGAATCTGCTGAGACTCATAAATTCATTTCACTTACATTGTTTATTGGGAAGGCCACTGAATCCATTTATCTTTAAGGTCATCACTTTCTAATTTCTTTGCTTGTAGGATATTCCTATATCTCTCACTTTTTTAAAAAAAGTGAGCATTTTTACTTGCATGCACGCACACACATGCTCACACACACTCATTTTCTCTCATAAATCAAAGAGAATCACCAGCTAATAATTTTATTGTATTTCTATGGAGATTGTGATTTACTTTCATTTGCATTCAAAAGGGAAGACAAAATTCTCAGTAAAATTAAAAAAAAATGCTTAGCTTTGCTGGCTCAATAAAGTAAAACTATAAGGTAAGGCACTGATTTTTTTTTTTTTTTTACAGTATTTAGACTTGTGATGGTTAGTGGACTTTAGTCTGGGGAAAAAATCTTTCAGTGATATTTTGGTTTGAAGACTCAAAGCTAAAAAGCACGAAACTTGGTGAGAACCAGGACACTATCTGACAGAGTATAAAGGTCACCACTCATGCTTCATCCTCTTCTACAAACACAGAGACATAAGGAGTGTACTTTAGGAAAATTCTGTCAGAAGAAACAGCACCAGAAGCAACACTTGAACAGAGCTGTAACTGTAATCATCATAATTGCACTACTAAAACTAATGAAATATCATATTGGAATTCTTCCTTGAAACAATCATGATAAAGTACATATTTCTTCCATGCTGTTAGTCATCAGTCTTTGAAAAAGCATGTGGGAGTAAATGTCAACTCTTTTTTCATTTAATGTAACTGCTAAGTTCATAGGAAAAAAAAATTCAGACATAGCAATTACAAAGATGGGCAAATGACAGAGAAAGCAAGTCTGTCTGATGAAAAGATATTTCAGGGAATGTGTTACTGTAATGCAAATGCTACATTTTCCTGATGTTTTTGTTAAAAGGAGAAAATGCTTTATTGCTGTTGTCAATGTAAGGCAAATGTTTTTGGTGTGCTGGACATTTTGAGCTCCCAAGTTCATTTCCACTTTGAAGCAGACTCCTCCAGGGAAAGGGTAATAAATCTGCCACTCCACCTGGATCCCTGAAGAAGACAGTGCTTCAGCTTGTGAGCAGTGCATGTCAGTCCAGGCATATCTGTGAGAAGATGATGACCTTACAGCTACCAATGTCCTTCAAGTAACAGACAGATGGCAAAAACAAGCCTGACAAAATCAAGATGAAGAATTTAAAAAATAAAGGGTAAACAAAATAGATCAGTCTGGTTCATAGTGAGATGTACTTTGTCATTGAGCATTGGTGTCAAAGAACTTTAAATGAGATAAAGTTGGCAAGATAATTTATGTTACATCTAACACACTCAATGGCATATTGAAAATTTAATATGCTGTTCATATTAAGAACTTCTGACATTATCACTAGCAGCCATAAGAAGCTTGACAATGATTCCATCATCTTTATTTGCCCCTTTCCAAAGATGGAACAAGCTCTCTTTACATCAAAGTTGATTTGCCTGTTCCCTCAAAAGACTTGGTAAATAGTTATTGACCAAGAAAGTAGAGAAATTTTTCTTTCTTGAAGAAAGTTTAATCAGTGAAGTGGCCTGAGATCAGAAGAATAAATAGAGAAATGCTGCAGCCTCACCACACCAGTCCTAAAATGGGTGAGATGTTTGTCCTATAATTTTCAGAATATTTTTCTGAAATATATTGAGACTCATTTATAATTTGGATAATTATTCCCCTAGAAGTAAAACTATCTCATTATTATTTTCTGACACATTTATATTCTATATTCCTCTGTACCTTTTGGAAACTCAGTCTATTTTCTAAGAAATGTTTTTCATTTTCCATGTGATTTTTGAAAAAATGAACCATTCACATTGTGATTTTTAGAAAGTGAGATGTTTCCTAGATATTGTGTGTTCTTCCTCACTTTACCCCTTTGGTTTTCTTCAACTAGAAGAGAGAATGATTTTCAGAGGTCTAAACTATCTTTCTCACTGGCAGAGCTCATTTTACATAATTTGATATTGAAGCTCCAGAAAATGCCTCACTCAGGAAGCTCAACATTTTGCTCAGATTTCCTCATAAACTCCATTTCACAGTTATCCTAAAGTACTTGTATTGAATGTATCTATGATTTCTTAACCATATAGTTGCTTTATCCTCTCAATTATGTGGTTTAGAAAAAATTTTCATACCTTCTTTGTGTCAGCCATGGTGATAAACCCTTTGGAGGAAAAACAAATAAAATACAGTAACCTTCTTGAGGATCCCAGTGTGGAAGAAACTAACCTTTCTTCCCCATTCCGTAGGCAGACTGGCCTGGCTTACAAAAGTCAGCACCTACATTTACTTTTCTGAGAGTTTTCTCTAGTAGCAATCTCATTCTCTACTTTGTCCACAGCAGGCCAGAAACGCCAGAGAATACAAACATTCTAAGGTCATCATCACTTAACCAGTGACTGGTGGGTGTCAGTATATCAGTATAGAGGCTCCCTTTTCTTTTGTGTAGAATAATTCTGAGGCTCCTATTCCCCATTGTCTCCCATAATTCCCTAGTGGCAACTTGCTTTATATTGGTAACTTGCTTTACAGCATTCCTTTGAATGACAGTTTTCTCTTTACTTTCTCTCTTCCTGTCTTATTTTATGACCCTCCAGAAGCAGAGGCATAGTATTTGGGAGATGCAGGAACTTGCTTATACTGGTAACTTGCTTTACAGCTTTCCTTTGAATGACAGTTTTCTCTTTACTTTCCCTCTTCCTGTCTTATTTTATGACCCTCCAGAAGCAGAGGCATAGTATTTGGGAGATGCAGGAAACATTAGAAGGGAAATGGGTAGGTGCTACAGAGAAGAAACCAAGCTCGAAGTGTGCGTTACTAATCTAGAAACCACAGGATTGCTTCACTCTAGGGGAAAGGGCAAAGGGCAAAAGCATGCCTCAGAGTTGTGTCAACCAAGAGAAGAGATAATCTGAGATTATATACCAACAACCATAAATTATTAATTGAGGGCTTTTGGGGTGGTACATTTAATTCCCTGGTACTTCTAGCCTGCCAACTGCACAGAGTGGGCTACATATTGGGGAAAATCCTTATGCATGGAGATGCAGATACTGCTCTCTGTAAATCGAACACACAAATTGAAATGAGAAGATTTGAGGATGCTTAGTAGGATACAGATAGTGTCTGCTATCCTTCACCATTTGCCTACCAGATTTATCTGGAATCTTTCCTAACAACTTATTTGCACTAGAACTTTTGTCTCAAAAGTTGCTCTTGGAGGATCCTAAACTATGATAACCATGTTTGATTGTGAAGATACTTAAGGTGTCACAACCTGAAAAATACTAAATTAAATGTATAAGAACATGCTACAATGCCATAGAAGGAAGAAAGGGAGGAGAATCAGGAAATATGGAGAAGAGAAAGATAAAAAAGTTTTAGGACCAGTAGGAGTTAGGTAGATTAAAACAGAAAGAAAGAGGGCAGGTGCTTGGAACAGTTCATCAAGTGGCCCTGGAGCATCAAGGGCTGGGCAGTCGGAGTTGGCTGGCAGGAGCAGGCAATAAGGTGATGCATTTCTTCATAGATAATTAAAAATAATAATAATACTCAAAATTAGTCCTTTTTATTATCACAATATAATTTTTATCACTGATATAAAAATATATTAGTGTTCTAAACTATTATCTATGTTCTAAACTACCTAAACAATAGATATGTTGTTCTAAATCAAACTATCTAAACAACAGTTTTAAACATATACATATTATCTATCTATATGAACATATCTATCTATAATGTTTATGTTCTAAACTATTGTTGCAGTTGCACAATACATGTTATGCTACATAATGCAATTTTTGTTAGATATTTTTAAAATAAATATTATACTTCACACAGAAGTTAATTTAAAGAACCCCTAGTTATTTAGTGCTCAGGTACATATGTTGGTTTCAAGAATTTGTAGTAGTATGGAGCTTTGTTCTGGTGACATTTTTGTCTTCCACCTAGGCAGTGCTTTATATTTCTGCATTTAAACAGTAGGTTTGAAATAAGCAACAATAGCACAGTGAATGTAAGATGAAGCAACAGAAACTCAATTACTTCTATCCTGTCATTTTCAAATGCCAGGACAAATGACAAAAGACACTGCTTTTACATTATCAGCACAAATTAAATTGTCAATGTTTGAATGACTTGGTTTTTTTATCATGGGTTTTCTTTTCTTTCTTTTCTTTTTTTTTTTTTTTTTTTGAGATAGAGTCTCGTTGTTGTTGCCCAGGCTGGAGTGCAATGGCACGATCTCGGCTCACTGCAACCTCCACCTCCCGGGTTCAAGCAATTCTCCTGTCTCAGCCTCCCGAGTAGCTGGAATTACAGGCGTGTGCCACCATGCCCAGCTAATTTTTGTATTTTTTGTGAAAACAGGGCTTCGCCATGTTGGTCAGGCTGGTCTCAAATTCCTGACCTTAGGGGATCCGCCTGCCTTGGCCTCCCAAAGTGCTGGAATTACAGGCATAAGCCACCATGCCCGGCCTTATCATAAGTTTGCTATAGAAAATTACATCCATGTTCGGCATCTTTCAGCCTTTTTTGTTTGTTTTAATGTAAACAAATCTTTAGGAATTTTAATAAATATATTAGCAATTTTGGAAATTTTTGACACTTTCATGTGAAGGAATTTTTTATATTAAAATATATAAAAATATAGTTCAATCAATCAAGTAGAAAAAGTTGATGATAATGTGGCTATACTGCCTGTGGAAGTTAAACATATTAAAAAGTCTACATATTTGTATTAAATATAAATTATATAGACATTTGGGTGTATAGTCTTGATTTTTTCCTTTTCAACTTTTATTTTAGGTTCAGGAGGTACATGTGCAGGTTTGTTACGTGTTTAAATTGTGTGTCACTGGGGTTTGGTGTACAAACCATTTCATCACCCAGGTAGCGAGCATAGTACCGATTGGTGGTTTTTCAATCATCACTTTCCAGCCTGTAGTAGGCTCCAGTGTCTATTTGTCTCTTCTTTATGTCTGCATTTACAGTGTTTAACTCCCCCTTACAAGTGAAAACATGCAATATTTGGTTTTCTGTTCCTGCATTGATTCACTTAGAATCATGGCCATCAGCTATATCTACATTACTGCAAAGGACACGATTTTATTTCTTTTTATGGCTGCATAGTATTCCATGGTGCATATGTACCATATTTTCTTTATCCAGTCCACTGTTGATGGTCATCTAGGTTGATTCCGTGTCTTTGCTAATGCGAATAATGTTGTGTTGAACATACAAGTGCACGTGCATTTGTATTCCTTTGGATGTATACCCAGGGAGTATTGCTGGGCTGAATGGTAGCTGTGTTTTAAGTTCTTTGAGAAATCTTCAGACTGCTTTCCACAAGTGGCTGGAATAACTTCCATTCCCCCAAGCAGTGTACAGGTGTTTTGTTTCGTTTTTTCCACAACCTCACCAACATGTTATTTTTTGACTTTTTAATAATAGCCATTCTGATTGTGTGAGATGGTAAGTCAATGTGGTTTTGATTTGCATTTCTCTAATGACTAGTGCTGTTGAGCATTTTTCCATATGCTTATTAGCCATGGGTATGTCTTCTTTTGAGAGGTATTTGTTCATGTCCTTTGTCTAATTTGTAATGTGATATTTTGCTGTTTCATTGTTGGTGTTTAAGTTCCTTGTAGATTCTGGATATTAGACCTTTGTTGGAGCATAGTTTGTGAATATTTTGTCTCATTCTGTAGGTTGTCTGTTTACTCTGTTGATGGTTTCTTCTGCTGTGCAGAAGATCTTTAGTTGAATTAAGCCCCACTTCTCCATTTTTTTGTTGCAATTGCTTTTGAATACTTTGCCATAAAATCTTTGCCAAGGTCTATGTCTGGAATATTTCTAGAAATGAAATTTCCTGAAAACCCTAGATTTTCTTCTAGGGTTTTTTAGTTCTAGGTCTTACATTTAAGTCATTAATCTGTCTTGAGTTAATTTTTGCATATACTGAAAGAAGGGGTTTCAATCTTCTGCATATGGCTAAACACTTATTCCAACACCATTTTTTAAACAGAAAGTCCTTTCCCCATTGCTTCTTATTGTCAACTTTGTCAAAGAACAGATGGTTGTAGGTGTGCAACTTTATTTCTCATTTCTCTAGCCTATTCCATAGGCCTATGTGTCTGTTTTTCTACCAGTACTATGCTGTTTTTATTACTGTAGGCTTGTAGTATAGTTTGAAGTTGGGTGGTGTGATGCCTCTGGCTTTGTTCCTTTTGTGTAGGAGTGCTTTGAATATCTGGGCTATTTTTTGGTTTCATGTAAATTTTGTAATAGTTTTATCTAATGCTGTGAAAAAATATATGAGTAGTTTGATAGCAAGAGCATTGAATCTATAAATTTCTTTGGGCAGTATGGCCATTTTAATAATATTGATTCTTCCTATCCATTATCACAGAATGTTTTTCAGTTTGTTTGTGTTGTCTCTGATTTCTTTCAGCACTATACAAAACAAAAGTGTGTGGTTGTCTAAATCTCTTCATAAGTCTCTAAAAACCTGTTTTATGAATCCAGTGTCAAGTGCATATATATTTTGGATAATTAAGTCTTCTTGTTGAATTGAGCTCTTCATCAATATGTAATGCCTTTCACTTTCCTTTCAAATCGTACTTGCTTTAAAGTCTGTTTTGTCTGAAACGAGAATAGCAACTCCTACTCTGTTGTTTTCTCTTAGATTGACAGATCTTTCCCCACCCCTTTACTTTGAGCATCTGGGTGTCATTGCCTGTGAGATAGGTCTTATGAAGACAGCACACTGTTGGGCCTTGCTTCTTTATCAAACTTGTACATTGGTTAGCTGTATTACTAAGTACTTTACTCCTTTTGTGGATATTATAGGTCGGACTGTGTTCTTGATTTGGCTGTCAGACATTATTGGTATATAGAAATCCTCTTAATTTTTTGACACTGATTTTATACCTGAAACTTTACTGAAGTTGTTTATCAGATCTAGGAATTTTGGGGCAGAGACTATGCGGTTTTCTCAGTATAGAATTATATCTTCTGTGAAGACAGATGGTTTGACTTCCTCTCTTCCTATTTGGATATATTTTATTTCTTACCATTGCCTGATTGCTCTGGCTAGAACTTCCAGTACAATGTTGAATAGGACTAGTGAGAGGGGACATCCTTGTCTTTTTCCAGTTCTCAAAGGGAATGGTTCTAGCTTTTGCCCATTTAATATGATGTTGGCTGTGGGTTTGTCATAAATGGCTCTTACAATTTTGAGTTACGTTCTTTTGATGCCTAGTTTGTTGAGGATTTTTAGCACAAAGAGATGTTGAGTATTTTCAAAGTTTTTCTGCATTTATTGAGATTATCATATGGTATTTTTAGTACTGTTTATTTGATGAATCACATTTATTGATTTGTGTAGGTTGAACCAACCTTGATTCTCAAGAATAAAACCTACTTGATCATGGTGGATTAGCTTTTTGATGTGCTGCTCTGTTCAGTTTGCTAATATTTTGCTGAGGATTTTTGCATCCATGTTCATCAGGGATATCGGCCTGAAATTTGTGTGTGTGTGTCTGCCAGGTTTTGGTGTCAGAATGATGCTGGCCTCATAGAATGAGTTAGTGAGGAATCCTTCCTCCTCAATTTTGTGGAATAATTTCAGTAGGATTGGCACCAGCTCTTCTTCATACCTCGGGTAGAATTTGCCTATGAATCTGTCTGGTCCAGGGCTTTTTGGTTGGTAGGTTTTTAATTGCTGATTCAACTTCAGAACTTGTTACTGGTCTGTTCAGGTTTTTAATTTCTTCCTGGTTCAATCTTGGGAGGTTGTATGTCTCCAAGGATTTATTGATTTCTTCTAGGTTTTCGAGTTTGTGTGCACAGAGGTGTTCATAATAGTTTCCAAGGATCTTGGTATTTCTGTGGGATCAGTGGTTATGATACCTTTGTCACTTCTGACTGTGTTTATTTGGATATTCTTTTTTCTTTATTAGTCTAGCTAACATTCTATCAATCTTATTCCTCCTTTCAATAAACCAACTTCTTGTTACATTGATTTTTTGTGTGAATTTTCACATCTCAATTGTATTCAATTCAGCTCTGATTTGGGCTATTTCCTTTCTTCTGCTAACTTTGGGGTTGATTTCCTCTTGTTTTTCTAGTTCCTCTAGGTGTAAGGTTAGGCTGTTAATTTGAGAACTTTCTAAATTCCTGATGCAAACATATAGTGCTGTAAACTTTCCACTTAATACTGCTTTAGCTGTGTCCCAGAGATTCTGGTAGGTTGTATCTCTGTTTTCATTATTTTCAAATAATTATTTGATTTATAGCTTCATGTCATTCCCTAAAATGTTACTCAGGAGCAGGTTGTTTAATTTCAATGTAATTGTATGGTTTTGAGAAAACTTCTTATATTGATTTTCATATTTATTATGCTGTAGACTGAGAGTGTGGTTGGTATGATTTTTTTAAATTTGTTTACAGTTGTTTTAGGGAAAATCATATGGTTGATCCGAGAGTATGTGTTATGTACAGATGAGGAAAATGTGTATTCTGTTGTTGTTGGGTGAAGTACTCTTTAGATGTCTGTTAGGTCCATTTGATTAAGTGTGGAGTTTAGTTCCCTATCTTTGTTTTTCGCCTTGATATGTCTAACACTGTCAGAGGGGTGTTGAATAATGTGGTCCCACTCTTAGTATGTGGTTGTCTTAATCTCTTCATAAGTCTCGAAAAACTTGTTTTATGAAACTGGGTGTTCCAGTGTTGGGTGCATATACATTTTGGATAGCTAAGCCTTCTTGTTGAATTAAGACCTTTATCAGTATGTAATGCCTTTCATTTATAGACCTATGGAACAGAACAGAGCCCTCAGAAATAATGCCACATATCTACAACCATCTGATCTTTGACACACTTGACAAAAACAAGAAATGGGGAAACGATTCCCTATTTAATAAATGGTGCTGGGAAAATTGGCTAGGCATAGGTAGAAAACTGAAACTGGATCCCTTCCTTACACCTTATACAAAAATTAATTCAAGATGGGTTAAAGACTTACATGTTAGACGTAAAACCGTAAAAACCCTAGAAGAAAACTTAGGCAATACCATTCAGGACATAGGCATGGGCAAGGACTTCATGTCTAAAACACCAAAAGCAATGGCAACAAAAGACAAAATTGACAAATGGGATCTAATTAAACTAAAGAGCTTCTGCACAGCAAAAGAAACTACCATCAGAGTGAACAGGCAACCTACAGAATGGGAGAAAATTTTTGCAATCTACTCATCTGACAAAGGGCTAATATCCAGAATCTACAATGAACTCCAACAAATTTACAAGAAAAAAACAAACAACCCCATCAACAAGTAAGCGAAGGATATGAACAGACACTTCTCAAAAGAAGACATTTATGCAGCCAAAAGACACATGAAAAAATGCTCATCATCACTGGCCATCAGAGAAATGCAAATCAAAACCACAATGAGATACCATCTCATATTCCTTTTAAATCATTATTGCTTTAAAGTCTGTTTTGTCTGAAGTAAGAATAGCAACCCCTGCTCTTTGTTGTCTTGTATTAGATTGATAGATCATTTCTCACCCTTTACTTTGAGCATCTGGGTGTCACTGTATGTGAGACAGGTCTTGTGAAGACAGCATACAGTTGGGCCTTGCTTCTTTATCAAACTTCTCACTGTTTGTCTTTTAAGTGGGGCATTTAGCTCATTTACATTCAAGGTTAGTATTAATATGTGAGAACTTGATACTGTCATAGCTGGTTGTTACGTAGACTTGATTGTAGAATTGCTTTATAGTGCTAGTGGGCTATATATTTAAGTGTGTATTTTTGATGGCAGGTAATGGTCTCTCATTTTTAGGTTTAGCACTTTCTTAAGGACCTCTTGTAAGGCAGATCTTGTGGTAATGAATTCCCTTAGCATATGATTGTCTGAAAAGGATTTTATTTCTCCTTCACTGATGAAGCTTAGTTTGGCTGGATATGAAATTCTTGTTTTGAATTTATTTCCTATAAGGATGCAAAATATAGGCCACCAATCCCTTCTGGCTTGTAAGGTTTCTCCTGAAAGTTCTGCTATTACCCTCATAGGGTTCCCTTTGTACGTGACCTGCCCCTTCTCTCCAGCTGCCTTTAAGATTTTTTGTTTCACAGTTACTTTGGAGAATCTGATGACTATGTGTCTTTAAGATAGTTGTCTTGTATAGTTCTTGCAGGGGTTCTCTGAATTTCTTGAATTTGCATGTGGACCTCTCTAGCAAGGTTGGGGAAATTTTCAAGACAATATACCGAATATGTTTTCAAGTTGCCTGCTGTCTGTCCATCTCTTTCTAGAATGCCAATGAGTTTAGGCAATCCCATATTTGTTGGAGTTCATTTCATTCAATTCTTTTTTCTTTATTTTTGTCTTCCTGTGTTGATTCAAAGGAGTGGTCTTTGAGCTCTGAGATTCTCTCTTCAGCTTGGTCTATTCTGTTATTAGTGCTTCCAATTGCATTCTGAAATTCCTGTAGTGAATTTTTTATTTCCAGAAGTTTAGTATTTTTGTTTTGTTTTGTTTTGTTTTTTGTTTGAAATGGAGTCTCACTCTGTCACCCAGGCTGGAGTGCAGTGGCGCAATCTTGGCTCATTGCAACCTTCGCTTCCCAGGTTCAAGCAATCCTCTGCCTCAGCCTCCCAAACAGCTGGGATTACAGGCACCCACCATCACACCCGGCTAATTTTTGTATTGTTAGTAGAGATGAGGTTTCACCATATTGGTCAGGCTGGTCTCGAACTCCTGACCTCAGGTGATCCACCTTCCTCGGCCTCTCAAAGTGCTGGGAGGCATGAGCCACTGCGCCTGGCCAGTTCTTTCTTAAAATGGCTTTGTCTTCTTTCTAATCTTGGACCATTTTACTGCTTTTCTTGGATTGGATTTCAGTCTTCTATTATGTCACTGACCTCCTTTGCTATCCAGATTTGGAATTCTGTGTTTGTCATTTCAGCCTCTTCAGTCTGACAGAGAACAGCCAAATAAAAACTTGCCGGGGAGCTAGTGTGGTCATTTGGAGGTAAGAAATCACACTAGCTTTGGCCGGGCGCGGTGGCTCAAGCCTGTAATCCCAGCACTTTGCGAGGCCGAGGCGGGCGAATCACGAGGTCAGGAGATAGAGACCATCCTGGCTAGCACGGTGAAACCCCGTCTCTACTAAAAGTACAAAAAAATTAGCCAGGCATGGTGGCGGACGCCTGTAGTCCCAGCTACTCGGGAGGCTGAGGCAGGAGAATGGCATGAACCCGGGAGACAGAGCTTGCAGTGAGCCGAGATCGTGCCACTGCACTCCAGCCTGGGCGACAAAGAAAAAAAAAAAAGAAATCACGCTAGCTTTTAGAGTTGTCAGATTCATATAGCCACTACCACAAATAAAATACAAAAAAGCACAATCACCACAATTTTCTCAGGTAATTCATTTGCGTTCATAGCCTCTACCCACCCCTAAAAAGTGGCAAATATTTACAATGGATATTAAGCATTGCCTTTTGGAGAACATCATACAGATTAAACCATATAGTATATAACCTTTGTGTCTATTTCTTTCATTCAATACAATACCTAGGTGATACATCCAAGTATTTGCATATATAAATAAGTTGCTCCATTTAATTGCTGAGTAGAATTTAAGTATGTGGATATACCACAAGTTATTCGTCCACTTGTACTTAGAAGTTACTTTTCTTCCCCCAGTTTTTGGTAATTATTAACAAAAATTTTATAGACATCCAGAGTAGGGATTTTTTTGACATAAATTCTCATTTCCCTAAATGTCTGGCAGTTGTATTTCTGGGCCATAGGAAAGTGTATGTTAATTTTAAAAGAAGCTGCTCTCTGTTTTCATAACCGTTGTATCATTTTGCATTTCCACCAGCAATGTATGAGAGTTCCAGGTGTTCCACATGCTTTCTAGTACTCAATATTGTCTCTGATTTTCATATTAGTCATTCTAATGGTTGTGTAATAATGTGTCATTGTGGTGTTAATAATTTACATTTCCTAAGAGACTCATGATATAGAAAATTATTTTCATGTTTTTATTTTGTATCCATATATTATTTTTGGTGAATCATCTAAGGTATTTTTTTCCATGTTTTAGTTGGATTATTTCCTTTTTCCTAGCTTTATTGAGGTATAATTGACAAATAAAAGTTATATATATTCAAAGTGTACACGTGCTACTTTGCTATGTGTATACTTTGTGAAATAATTACCACAATCAGATTGACACGTTAATTGCCACACAGAGTTTCTACATTTATCCCTGTTTGTGTATGTGTGTAGTGTGAACAATTAAGATGTATACTCTTAGTAAATTTCAAACAATATGGAATTATTAACTATAGTCACTATGCTGTACATAAGATCTCCAGAACTTACTCATCTTATAACTGACAGTTTTCATCCTTTGATCAGTATCTTCCCATTCCCCCCATCCTGAGCCACTGACAACCACCATTTTGCTTTCTGCTTTTAGAAGTTTGACTTTTTTAGATTCCACTTATAAGTGAGATCACGTGGAATTATTTTTGAGATACTGACTTCATTTCCTTTGGATATATACACAGAAGTGGGATCGTTCGATGGTATTCAGCTGTCTGTGCCTGAGTTATATCACTTAGCATAATGTCCTCCAGCTTTATCCATGTTGTTGCAAATGGCAGGATTTCTTTCTTTTTTATGGTTGAATAATATTTTATTGTAAATACATAGACACACTTCTTTTATTCATTCATCTAACAATAGACACTTAGGTTGTTTTCATATCTTGGCTATTATGAATACTGCTTCAATAAATGTAAGAGTATGGATATCTCTTTGAGATGGAGTTACATTATGTTAGATTTATACCTCAGTATTTAATTTTGAAGAGTTCTTGTAAATGGTATAATTTTGAAATTTCAAATTCCATTTGTATTTCTACTATATAGACATTTTATTGAAATATGTGCATTGAAATTATATTCTAGCTAATATTTTAGAAGGGCTATCTTTTTCCTTTCATTGTAGGTTCTTTGCAGTTTTCCAGAAATGATTTATGTCAGTGTGAGGAAGAAAAATTGTATTTTTCCCTTTCAATTGGTATACCTTTTATTTGTTTTACTTCTTTTTTGCACTGACTTATCAATGTTAGGTTGTTTAAGAGTGAAGAGAGAAGACATTCTTCCCTTCTCACAGATCTTAGAGGAAAATAATCATTATTTTACCATTAATGTTGCTGTTACCTGTCAGTCTACCCTAGCTGCCCTTTATCATGTTGAGTAACTCCCATCTAGAGCTAGCTGGGGGACTTTTTACTATAAATGGGGATTGAATTCTGTCATATGATCTTCTGTATAAATTGATATTAGCATATATTTTTTCCTCCTTTGCAGTTAATATAGTAGATTGTATTGATTTATATTTTAAATATAAGACCATCTTATTCTCAGTATAAGCCCAATTTGGGAATGATGTATTATTTTTATATATTCATGGATTTCATTTGCTAATATTTTTGAGAATTTTGTGTCTATATCCATTAGGATTAGGGCCTGCAGTTTTACTATTTTTTGGTTTTTTTTAGTTTTCTATGGCCGCATAACAAATTACTACCAACTCAGTGGCTTAAAACAACATTCATATGTTTGTTGGCTGCATGAATGTCTTCTTTTGAGAAGTGTCTGTTCATGACCTTTGCGTATTTTTTAATGTTTTTTTTTTCTTGTAAATTTGTTTGAGTTCCTTGTAGACTCTGCGTATTAGACCTTTGTAAGAGGATAGATTGTAAAACCTTTCTCCCATTCTATAGGTCTCCTGTTCACTCTGATGGTAGATTTTTTCTTTTTTTGGCTGTGCAGAAGCTCTTTAGTTTAATTATAACCCATGTGTCAATTTTTGCTTTTGTTGCAATTGCTTTTGGCGATTTCATCATGAAACCTTTGCCCATGCCTATGTTCTGAATGGTATTGCCTAGATTTTCTTCTAGAGTTTTGATAGTTTGGGAGTTTACATTTAAGCCTTTAATCCCTCTTGAGTTAATTTTTGTATGAAGTGTAAGGAAGGGATCCAGTTTCAATTTTCTCCAAATGAATAGTCAGTTCTCCCAGCACCATATATTAAATACAGAATTTTTTCTCCATTGCTTGTTTGTGTCAGGTTTGTCAAAGATCAGATAGTTTTAGATATGCAATCTTATTTCTGAGTTCTCTATTCTGTTTCATCGGTCTATGTGTCTGTTTTTGTACCTAGGTGATGGGTTAATAGGTGCAGCAAACCACCATTGCACACATTTACCTATGTAACAAACCTGCACATCCTGCACATGTACCCCAGATTGAAAAATAAAAATTAAAATTAAACAGCATTCATTTATAATCTCAGAGATTTTGTGGGAGTAGAATTAGAAGAATGGGAACAGCATAATTGAACTCTCTGCTCAGGGTGTCACAGGCTGAAATCAAGACATCAGCTAGGCTGTAATCTCATCTGGAGTTTGGGCTTTTCTTCCAAGCTCAAAAGATTATTACCAAATTCAATTTCCTTTCAGCTGTAGACATTATGAAGGCTGCATATTCCAGGCCAGCAGAATGCCTCAACGATGCTTCTTTTATTAAAGGCTCATCTGATTAGGTCAGGACCACCCACATTCAGCTTCATTTTGATTAACTCAAAGTTAAGAGATTAGTTACCTATTCATGAGAGTGATATTCCATCATATTCACAGACCATGCTTCAAAAATTCTGCATAGGCTTTTTAGAAGCCTTTTGCTAAAAAATACAAAAAGAAGTATGCTTAGTTCCTTGTACCTTTTGCAAAGAAGATAAACTGTGATGAAATCTATGACAAACTTGTAGGGATTAAGGTTTCAAAATAGGAAGAATAATGCTATTAAGACATCAACAAGCCAATATATAAATATAATCCCCATTTAAAATATATATTAATTTAATCAAAATTATTAATCAGTTATTTTATCATACTATAGAATTATTTTAGTGTGTTTTTTCTCTCTGTTTTTTACTAGCATGATTATGTAAACAACCTTCAAGAAGATTGTGGTATTTTGTTTTGTTTTCTTTTTTTTCTGGCCATTAAAATTGATCATCTCATTTCATGATTTTTAATGGAAAATATTTTGTCAAATAGAAGAGAGGGAGCTAATAATTACACTCCAACTTTCAAATATTCAAAGATTGATTTTGCTGGAGAGATCAGTATTGCAAATGTCAGGAAGGAATGACATAACATGACAAGTTTAGAACTACAAAGAATTCAGCATGTCTAAATGAAGGGTAAAGAAATTTCAGGAGGTAAATGTAATATAGTTAGCTTGTGTTTTAAGACTGTTGATTGAACATGTGTATTGAAGCTCAAGTGAATACAGTAAAAGGACAAAATGACAACAAAAATTAACAGGATAAAAAAAAGAGAGAGAGCAGGAAAAGAGATAATACTGATCACAATCAAAAAAGGCCCTAGAATGAAAACTATAGGTGACAAAAAGGAAGTAAATAGTCAAGATTATGAGTGAGAAATTTTATATAGGAGAAATATCTTCAAGAAAATGAAATTAATAGAATGTGATATGTTTGATTATCTTAAGATTTATATTTACTTTAGAGATTGGAAATTAGTTAATAAGAGTAATACAGAAAAAACACAAAAGCAAAATGACTAATTCTAAAGAAAACAGAAAAACTGTATAAAAATATAAATATGCCCTACCTGAGAATGGTATTAACAAGCAATAATGATATACTTCATATATATTTCTTTCACTAAAAATTATGACTACTGTGGCATAAGTATCTGATGTGTTTAAGTAATAATTTATTGCGTACTGGGTATGTGAAAAGAGTAAAAAGCTCATCTTGATTTTATGTATGGCCAAGTGATTATTTCTGACCAATGGACTATGAACAGAAATAATGTATAGCATTTCTAGATGTTCTCTAAAATATCTCAAAATCTCCTTCACTTTCTTGCTATTTCCTCAAATTCAGCTGGATACAGGCCTCGATGAGAGAGGTATTTAAGGTAGCATCCTAAATTGGAACAGCTTGAATCCTGGAGTATTTGATAAAAGGAAAAATTCCCAAAGAATCATGCTACCAAGAATAACTACATCAGATTTTTATTGAGAAATACATGTTATATTAAGTCACAGAACTCCTTGATCATGTATTTGTTTTCATATAAGAACTAGTATTCCTTGACCTAACGAATACAGAAATTGAAACTGGAGTTCCATGCTAGATTATTTCCTTTCTTCCTTCCTGAATTAGTAAGGGTTCTCCAGAGATACAGAACCAATAGGACACACACACACACACACACACACACACACACACACACACACACAGAGTCAACATAAAATATAGAGAGACAAATCTCTAAGTAAAAAGTTTTTTTTCTTTTATTTGGGAATAACATACTAGAAATAGGATTGCAATTCAGGACACACATACAGATCAGGGTGGTCTCCAGTATGTCTGGAGAACAAAGGATAAACAGGATTTCACTGGGAAAAGATAAGCTTACTGGTGTCAGAATGTCTTTTGGGAGCTGGCAAGCTGTGATTGGTGAGTGGTGGCAGTTGCTAGATAAAACTTGTAATCTTAGCTACAGCAGGCTGTTTCATAGGATTGGGCTTGTGAGACAGTGTGTCAGGCAAATGTTTTTGTATAAGCAGCTAGCTGTCCTTGTGCTGCTATCTGTCTTTGTGTGACTCATGCAGTAAGCTGTGGTTTGGAAAAATTTCTTGTGATAGTTTCTGTTATCAGGCAAATTGTGCATGAGAGCCCTCCCTTCATGGCCTTTGCCAGCTCTGTTTTGCCAGGATATGACACAACTGACTCTATTTTAATTTGACAACTTTCACAATATGTGTGTGTGTATATATAGACTGACTCACATGATTATAGAAATGATTATGGAGACTGGGAAGTCCAAATGTAGTGTGGGATGCCAGGCTTGAGACCCAGAGGAGCCCATGGTACAATTCTAATCTGAAAGCAATCTGCTGGACAATTTCTTCTTGTTTGGGAGGTGGGTCTTTTTATTAGATTCAGGCCTTCAACAGAATGCATGAGGTCCACACATGTTACGGAGGGCCATTTGCTTACTGAAAGTTCACTGATATAACTGTAAATTTCATTCAAAAACATTTTCCAAGTTGACACATAAAGTTGACCATCACATTTCCTTTTTGTTTCCTTTCTTCCTTCCATGATAGAAGTGTTTTTAACTGGTGTATATGCTTATCTGCTAAAGAAGCCACAGGAAAATAGCCCAGAGCTTGAGGAGGAGGAGGGATGATGGATTGAGGCAGTTTGCCTGAGTTATACACAGCACAGATGGAGATAGTAATCTCTATCAGAAAGAGAGAAATTTCTCCTGCTGGAAGGGAGGAAGCCCTAGTGCTTTCCATCTCCACTCTACTTCACTGTCATTCCTCCACCCCTAGCTTGGTTGTAAATATACTGTCTTCAATGTCTATAATACTGTAGTTCTTCTCTGGGACTGCACCCATCTATCTCCTTTCCCCATTACTCCCTCTGCCTCATCAGCAAGACTGTGAGTCCCTCATTCCTCCAAGCCCTTAGTCATAAGATTCAATAAATAAATAAATATGTGCCTTATAAGGCTCCTTGCTCTATAAAACTTTGTCTCCTTATTTGCTAATTCAACACTCTTCTTCATGTTCTCCCCCTCTAAATTCAGTCTCCTAAACATTATCAGATACATTTTTTTAATTTTGTCTATTGAATTTAATACAAACTCATACTGCTTAACTTCATCCGGGGCCTCACTAAAAATCAGAAACATGTTTGCATCTTACTGATAGCATGTTGACATTTCTGGGGGCTAAGATGATTTCAGCATTCAACTTTGTTTTTCCATGCTTCTATCTATCTATTTATTTATTTATTTATTTATTTATTTGAGATGGAGTTTTGCTCTTGTTACCCAGGCTGGAGTGCATTGATGCGCTCTCAGCTCACTGCAACCTCCGCCTCCCGGGTTCAAGTGATTCTCCTGCCCCAGACTCCCAAGTAGGTTGGATTATGCATGCCTGGCTAATTTTGTATTTTTAGTAGAGATGGGGTTTCGCTATGTTGGTCA
This sequence comes from Homo sapiens, assembly GCF_000001405.40. Classification (NCBI taxonomy): domain Eukaryota; kingdom Metazoa; phylum Chordata; class Mammalia; order Primates; family Hominidae; genus Homo; species Homo sapiens. The sequence goes on along the minus strand of NC_000006.12, from coordinate 120,196,842 downwards.
GGCTGGTCTCAACTCCTGACAACAGGTGATCCACCCATCTCAGCCTCCCAAAGTTCTGGGATTAGAGTTGTGAGCCACCGTGCTGGCCCTGTTTTCACATGCTTCTTTCTTCCTCCCACACAAACTTTATTTAACTTACATGCCACTTTAATGAAATTACACTAATATTACCCACGATTTTCTTATAACAGAATAAGTAATCTTTCTTCTGCCTCTGTATTCCTGTCTCTGCAGAATTTCATGATTTACTATGTCCTTCTTCAAAGTATCTCATTTCTTGGTTTTTATTAGTCATTTTTCTGTTTTGTCACACTTCAAAGACAAATGAAAATTATCCCTTAAAGTTTGGTTTGTTTTCTGAAAGTCTACATTTTTTAAATGTAAATTCTCTTTTGTACTCACGGCTACACATGGAAATTTTGAAGACAAGTTAATGGTTTTTTATCTTGACCAACACCTAACAAGGCTTTAGAAGTGATTATATTTCAAAATATGTTATTTTCTCTAGCTAGCTCAGGATAGTTGGAGCCACTTGGAAATATTATAACAAGCATTACTTAGTAAAAATGAAAGGGCTATACTACTTTAATATAGAATGAAGGAAGTATAACTGATTGATCATCTAAGAAGACAAAATTTGACATAGCTAGTGAGTAGAATTGCATGTATGCAGCTGGAACTGAAATAAAGGGACTTAAACCACAGATGGTGCTAAAATTTGTTTTTTAAAAAAAAGGCATTTTACAAAATTGAGGCTGTCTCTAATTTGGGCAGTAAGGAGACTGACTATAATCATCATATATATATAAATATTTATTATAAGAAATAAACTAAGCTTAAATCACAAAGTTAGGATTTAGGCTCAAAATAAATTAAAACCTCCTTCTCTTTGCAAAGGTCATTAAATACTGAGATAAATGAAGAAATTTATAAAAAGCAAGGTCTTATTCTTTCCATGTTTTTAATAACAGAATTGACACCAATTTATATGATTTGAAATAAACACAATGCACAGAGTGGAACTAAGCAGGTTGTTGAGAAATTTGTAATGCTGTATGCTAAGAGCCATGAGAATTACAATGAACTTACAGACAAAAAGGTTAGGATGCACTCAGAAGATAAGAACAATTGGGACAGATATTAGAGCATGACTAAAAGGAAACTATATTTTCTTTGCTTTTTATATTTTAGATAAATAGGAAATACATGAAAACTTTTATGCAGATATTTTGGATGGAAAAACACTTGCAAACCTCAAAAAGAGCACAATTTCCTGGTAAAATTATTCAGTTATTTTATTGGATGACATTATGCCATAACAAGCAAAGTCCTTTATTTTTCTTTTATTTTTTCTTAGATTATAAATAATAATCTAATTAAAGATGTGTGTGTGTGTGTGTGTGTGTGTGTGTGTGAGAGAGAGAGAGAGAGAATTTGGAGCATAATTTTTTTTTTTTTTATTTTTTACTTGTATTTACTAACATTGCTTTTTTACTTGGAAGTGTACAGAGAGAAAACTCACTTCTCGGTCTTTAAATTAAGGACGGTTTGAAAGAGAATCATATCACTGAGCTAGAGGTGAAACACTCTGCCTCATGATAGCTCAAACCTTTGATCTATCCAACACACTAACAATATTATTTTTAACAGAGATCCAATGAATTTTAAATCTTGTCTCTATAAACCATTTATAGCTGTAAGCAATCCTCACAGGCACTCTTATTCGGTATTTATGAATCCTTTTGGAACAGATTTCTTACTATATGTCCATCTGATAAGAATAGGAGAAAAACTGAATATCAATATATTTCAAAATATTTGTCCCTAGACCGTGTAATTATACTCAATGAAGAGCTTGCTAGAAAAAGTAAAACTTATTCACAATCAATTGTCACTTTTGTACCAAGCAAATTCATTTGAGAATGCCATGATGGACATTTGCAGGAAATGGTAGAAAACGCACTGGCTGAATATCATCTCATAATTTAGCCTGAATAAATCTTCCTGGAGAATACAAAGTGCTGGAACTCTGAGCAAGACACTGCTATGAATACATTTTGGAAACTTTTACAAGAAGGAAAACATGCTGATCTGAAGGATGACTTCTTTTGTTTTTGCCATCTTCAGAATACAGCAATGTAACAGTAAAAGTTTGCTTTGAGGCTAAAAAGCTATTAATAATGAATCAATAGTTCAATGTTGTAGTCCAAGGGGGAGGCGGAGGGAAATAGCAATGGCCTCCAGCAGTCAATGCTATACTTTTATCATTGGCTGTTTCACTTAATCACTGATATACTTACAGAGCTTGTGGCAGAGCAAAGATCCATGAGCTGATGAGAAAATAAACTATATCCTTGGTGAGAATTAAAAGAATAATCTCATATTTTCTAGCCTTAGGGATGAAGTTTCATTTTAAAGATTGTACCTTCAACAGTTGTGTCTGAAATGCAAATGATGGCCATCAATATTTTCCTTCCAGCCCAATTGTCATTTTAATTCCTATGCTAATAATTATTGAAAAGCACACTGAAGAGCCACCATATGCAAAACTGCCACAGAGTTCAACAGACAGGGTAAATCATCACTTGAAAGAATTTCAAACAATAGGTAAGAATTTTTTAAAAAGTGAACCAAGAAAAGGATTGAATTATAAGGAAGTAAAATTTAAAAATTGTCAATTATGCTGTACTCATAAAAACATATCAATTCACCTCTACAAGTAATTTAATTACAAAATTTTAATGATTCTGTAGTTTCTTCTATGTGTATGAAAAAGCACTATGAAATATTTTTGGTATCACAACAAAAAATAACTTCAATCTCTTACAGTGTCTAAGTATCTGTAATGCTATATTCATGCATTTACACTGTGCTCATAATATGTACTCCACTCAACCAGATACTACTAAAAGAAATTCTTTTATTTGCCATGGAGAGCTGTGATGATGGTTAATCTTACATGTCACTTGGCTAGACTATTGTGGCAAGTTATTTGGTCAAATACTAGTCTAGACATTGCTGTGAAGGTATTTTAAATTGTAATTAACACTGATTTTATGTCTAAGTAAAGCAAATATGATTCAGGCAATTTCATATACGTAGCAGCCATCAAATGGTTCCAGATCTACAGAGGATTGTCTGCTCTATTTATATAATTTCTTTTGAAATTCATATTTTAATTTTTTAAACTTTTATTTTAGGTTCAGCGTACATGTGCAGGTTTGTTATATAGGTAAACTTGTGACTCACAGGTTTGGTGTACAGATTATTTAGTCAGCCAGGTAGTAAGCCTAGTACCAAATAGTTATTTTTTCTGATCCTCTACCTCCTCCCACCCTCCATCCTCAAGTAGGCTTTAGTGTCTGTTGTTCCCCTTTTTGTGTTCATGTGCTCTCATCATTTAGTTCCCACTTATAAGTGAGAACATGTGGTATTTCATTTTCTGTTTCTGCATTAGTTTGCTAAGGATAATGGCCTCCAGATTTAACTAAGTTCTTGTAAATAACATGATATTCTTTCTTATGGTTGCATAGTATTGCATGGTGTGTATGTACCACATTTTCTTTTTCCAATCTGCCATCAGAGGGCATTTAGGTTGATTCCATGTCTTTGCTGTTGTAAATAGTGCTGCAATGAACATATATGTGCATGTGTCTTTATGATAGAATAATTTTTAATCCTTTGGGTATATAACGAGCAATGGAATTTCTGGGTCAAATGTTAGTTTTGCTTTTAGCTCTTTGAGGAATCACCACAATGGTTGAATTAATTTATACTCCTAACCCTGTATAAGTATTCCTTTTTCTCTCCAAACATGCCAGCCTCTGTTATTTTCATTTTATTTTATTTTTATTTCATTTATTTTATTTTTATTTCATTTATTTTATTTTTGAGACAGAGCTCTGTCACCCAAGCTGAAGTGCAGTGGCCCGATCTCAGCTCTGCAACCTCCACCTCTCAGGTTCAGCCTCCCAAGTAGCTGGGACTACAGGCACACACCACCATGCTCAGCTAATTTTTTTTTTTTTTATTATTTTTATTTTTAGTAGAAATGTAGTTTTGCATGTTGGCCAGGTTGGTCTCGAACTCCTTGCCTCAAGTGATCTTCCCAAAGTGCTGGGATTACAGGCATGAGCCACCGTGCCCAGCCCAACCTCTGTTATTTTTGACTTTTTAATAACAGCCATTCTGACTAGTGTGAGATGGTATCTTATTGTACTTTTGATTTTCATTTTGCTAATTATTAGTGATATTGAGGGTTTTTCATATGCTTTATATGTAAGCTATATATATGTCTTCTTTTGAGAAGTGTCTGTTCATGTTCTTTGCTCACTTTTTAATGGAATTGTTATATATATTATATATATATATATATATATATATATATATACACACACACACACACACACACACACACATATATATAAGTTCCTTGTAGATGCTGGATATTAGACCTTTGTCAGATGCATAGTTTGCAAATGTTTTCTCTCATTCTGTGTATTGTTTATTCTGTTGACAGTTTTCTTTACTGTGCAGAACCTCTTAAGTTTAATTAGATCCCATTTGTTCAAGTTTTGCTTTTCTTGTGATTGCTTTTGTCATTGTCATGAAATCTTTGCTAGGTCCTATGTCCAGAATGATATTGCCTAGGTTATCTTCTAGGGTTTTTATAGTTTTAAGTTTTACAATTAAGTCTTTAATCCACCTTGAGTTAATGTTTCTATATACTGTAAGGAAGGGGTCCAGTTTCAGTCTTGTGCATATGGCTAGCCAGCTATCCCAGCACCATTTATTAAATAGGGAATCCTTTCCCCATTGCTTGTTTTTGTCAGCTTTATCTAATATCAGATAGTTGCAGGTGTGCGACCTTATTTCTGGGCTTTCTGTTCTGTTCCATTGGTTTATGTGTTTATGTGTCTGTTTTATTATCATGCTCTTTTGGTTACTGTAGCCCTGTAGTATAGTTTGAAGTTGGGTAGCTTCTAGCTTTCACCTGGAAATTGATGCTTCCAGCTTTCTTATTTTTGCTTAGGACTTCTTTGGCTATTCAGGCTTTTTGTTTGTTTGTTTCATATTGATTTTAAAATAGTTTTCTTCCTAATTCTGTGAAGAATGTCATTGGTAGTTTGACAGGAATAGCACTAAATCTGTAAATTGCTTTGGGAAATATGGCCATTTTAATGATATTGATTATTCTTATCCATGAGCATGGAATATTTTTCCATTTGTTTGTATCATCCCTGATTTCTTTCAGCAGTGTTTTGTAATTCTCATTACAGAGGTCTTTCACCTCCCTGGTTAGCTATATTCCTAGGTATTTTATTCCTTTTGCGCCTATTGTGAATGGGATTGTGTTCCTGATTTGGCTCTTGGCTTGGCTGTTGTTGTTGTATAGGAATGATAGCGATTTTTGTACATTGACTTTGTATCCTGAAACTTAAAGTTGATTATTGGCTGAAGGAGCTTTTGGGCCAAGATTATAGGGTTTTCTAGATATAAAATCATGTTATCTGCAAACAAAGATAGTCTGACTTTCTCTCTTCCTATTTGGATTTCCTTTATTTCTTTCTCGTCTGATTGCTCCGGCCAAGACTTCCAATACTGTATTAAATAGGAGTAGTGAAAGAGAGCATTCTTGTCTTGGGCTGGTTTTCAAGGGGAATGTTTCCAGCTCTTGCCCAATTAGTATGATGTTGGCTGTGGGTTTGTCATAGATGGCTCTTATTTTTTTGATGTATACTTTTTCAATACCTAGTTTATTGAGAGTGTTTAACATGAAGGGATGTTGAATTTTATCAAAACCCTTTTCTGCATCTATTGAGATGATCATGTGGTTTTTTTGTCTTTAGTTCTGTTTATGTGGTGAATCACTTTTACTGATTTGCATATGTGGAAACAACCTTGTATCCCAGCCTTAAAGCCTACTAGATTGTGATGGATCAAGCCATAGAGTGGTTGCAATGAAAGCAATAATGTCTAAGCCTGCAAAACAGCAAAGATGGTAGACTACCCCTTCTTCTGGGAGCTCTGTCTCAGGGAGGTGTAAGACTGCTACTGGTGGTTGACTGGAGTTCCAAACCAGTAGGTTTTACCCTGTGAAATGCCATGGAAATGGAGCTTGCAGATGATTGCTACTCAGCCACCTGGATTCAAGTCCTTTCCTAGGAGTATGTATGGGGTTTTAACCTCTTGCTTAGCCACCTGGATTCAGCTCCTTTCCTAAGAGTATGTACAGGGTTCTAACCTCCTGCTTTGCCAGAGTTGTAGCTGCCTTTGCTGGGAATCCCAGATTTCTAAATCTCTTGGGGCTCCATGTGTGCCTGAGCAGCTGCCCTGTTGAGCGCCCATGTAGCTCTGTGTGTCTGACTGAAAGCCCTGGTGGAGTGGGTTCACAAGGGGATCTCCTGACCCGAGGGTTGCAAAGATCCGTGGGAGAAGTGTGGGTGGCCAGGGTCACTCACTCACTCACTGCTTTCCTGAATGGGGGAGGCTCTCCTGGCTCCATGTTGCTCCCATGTGGGGAGTCATCTTGTTTTGTTTTACTCCATTCTTCATGGGTTGAGTTGTTTTATTGATGATTCTTAATGACTGTACCTGGATGTTCCAGTTGAAGGTGCTGTATTTACTCATCCCTTGTATTGCTCTCCATGAGACTGGAGCACACTAGCTATCTCTAGTCAACCATCTTGGCCAGCCTTCTGACTAACATTTAAAGCATAGACTTTGAGTAGAAAATATTATCTTCCATAATGTGGGTAAGCCTCATCTCGTCAACTGAAGATCTTCAAAGACTGAGTTTCCACAAACAAGAAGAAATTCTGCCTCCAGACTGCTTTTGGATTCAAAATTGCATCATCAATTCTTCTTCAGGTCTCCAGCCTGCAGGCCTGCTAAGAAGATTTTGGAACTACCAGCCCTACAATCACATGAGCCAATTCCTTAAAATCTCTCTCTGTACACACACACACACACACACACACACACACACAAACACACACACACACACACACACACACACACACAAACATACATCTTATTGGTTCTGTTTCTCTGGAAAATGTTAACTAATATAAGAACTTCTTCATTCATTAATACTCTTTGTGAACCTTCTAAAATTGTGCCTTTTATTCCTATTCCTAATACAGAAGTTACTTACTTGCTTTTATATGTTTATTAATATTCAAAAGTAAGAGCTTTCAGGATGTGACATTTCTAGAGAGCTCATCCTTATTCATTTATTCAAGATTTATTGAAAGAGATGTAAAATTGCTCTAGCATTCAAAGATACAGTAGTGAATAAGATAAAGTTTCTGTTCTCAAGGAGATTACATTCTTATAAAGATAGCCAGAAATACCTGAAAAATCACTAAATTTTTAAACACAATTTATTATATATTAAATGTTATCTAATGTTAATAGTTGCTTATACCAAAGTGTCTAAATAAAATTAAGATGCTTCTAGATTAAACAGATCTATTTCATGACAGTATTTAATGATTTAAAAGCTTTCATCTAATATTTAGCATACATATAGAAATGTAATTGTATAATAATTGTTTAATTAATTCATTTATTCCTTGACTCATTCAATTTACATATCTCTTATATGTCTAAGAAGTATTTAGGACAACTTGAAGAGAGGGCAAGTAAATGTAACTGCAATTTATGTAGTTAATAGTGTAAAATGCAAATGAAATAGCCAGATACAGAGATTCCAGTTTTTTCCTTATTAAAATTTAAACTTATATTCTAATTTTGCACAAGAAACTACTTCTGTTAAGTGCATTCAGAAAGTAGTTGCATTTCTAATTCACATTCTGGTTTCTAAGTACTGTTATTGGCCATAATAGAGAACTTCATTATTTCTCATTAGGGCTCTACTAATAGCCTCTGAACAGATGCCTTTCACCTCCAGGCTATGCCGTCTTAAATCTAGCCAATCCACCTATATAAATATGTAGAGACCTTATTTAAACATGTTCTGTGATCTCATATCTCAGCTATCTCCATTTCCAGTTTGGGTCCTTTACAACATTCACTACTCACTCTCTAGTACCAGATAGACTTCATTTGATGTTCCTATTATCTGATACTCATCTCAGCACATTGTATTATGTTGGTGAAAAAGGAATTGCGGTTTTTGAACTAACCTAACGTATGTAGCTTACTTCTAGAGTTCTGAATATATTTATATTATCACTTGAATTTTTGTTTATAAATATTTGTTCAAACTTCCCTCCTGAAAATGGCTACTACTCAAAATTCAATATATCAACAAAAGAACCAGGTAGAGCTAGGGTAACTATGATACAAATAAATCCAGTAATGTTTAGAGAATTGTCTTTGGCTCATGAAAATGTTTTGTCAAGTACTGTGAATGAGATGGCACCAATAAGAGAGTAAAGTAGGAAATGCAAGCCTTCTACTCTCCGTCTCCACAAAAAAATAAAAAAAATTGATAGTTATCCACCAATGAAAACAGCTTTGGGAGGGCTCAAGTGTGCATGTAAGCACATGCAGCAACATGGTGCAGCATATATAAAAAAGAAAAAGAATAACTGAATAAAAGGTATTGCTACAAAGTTTGGTACATCTGAGGTGCCTGGAGATGGCTAGAAATAAAGAAGAAATATTATGGCTATTAGTATCAGCCACAGGGTGGGTGCCACCACAATCCTCATCAGCTTGCTTTGCAAATGACATTGACAATTTTTGCCATTGAGGTAACCAACAGTCATCCCTGTTCTATTCCCTCTGGAACATACTGCAAAAAGAAGTTGCTATTGTATCTTCCTGGAACTGGAGCTGTTACCCTTCCCAGCATCATGCATGCCCATGCCCTTAGTGCCATAGTCACCCCACATGTGCCCATACACCAAATCTCACCTCTTTAGCCACTCTATGCTTGCTTGTGTTCCAGACTTGTACTTTATGGCCATGCCGGGAACATGAAGGCCTCAAACATCAGAACCACTGTGGCTATGGGCTAGCTGCACCCTGGACCTTAGAACCATGGTTGCTCTCATGTCCCCTAACTTCTGACTCTAGCTCCACAGCTGTTCCATGAGCACCCATTTCTCTGACATTTGAGCTACCAGTACAGCAAGCTAGTCCACTCCCTAGATCCTAAAGTTGCTGTAGCTCCTTACATTCCCATGCTCTAGATCCTAACTCTGTGGCTGCACTGTGTACACCCATGCCTCAGACACTGGAGCCAGTGTCACTATAGGCTACTTTGCATCTTTGGCCTTTGAAATGCTGCAGCTCTGCTCATGCCTGGACTCCAGACCCCAAATCCCTGGCTGTCCCACAAGCACCCATGCCTCATACACCATTCCCAATGTGACAGTGAGGGTGTCTGTGTTTGTGACATTGGTGTTACCTCTGCCCCAACCCTAGAGCCTTGGTTTCTTTATGTATGTCCATGTTTCAGACTCCAGCTCTGTGGCAGCTCCATGGGCATTGCAAACCAGACCCCATGGCCATTACCACAAGAAAGCCCTCCAGCCAGAGCCAGCACCAAGAGGGATCCCCTTGGCCGTGACTTTTCGGGTGGGATAAACAGATTGGAAGGGCCCTAGCAGCCTTTTCCACCAAAGACCCCAAAGCTATGGTTGCCACTGTAATCATCCACATCCTTGACTGCATAAAATCCCTACAAGTTTTGCCAACACAGACCTCAGCTGACAGAGCTCAATGTAAACGATACTCCTGTGCCCACAGAGCCAGAAGTATTACAAACTACCTTGCTAGCACCCCCACACCCACCCATAGAGGAAGGACTTTTCCTATTGAAACCAGTTCATAAAGTCTTAAAATGGTGACTGCTCCATCAAATGTGTGGACATCAATGCAAAGCAACAAGAAATATTTTTAAAAATAGGGAAACATAACACTACCCAAAGAACATAATAATTTCACAGTAACAAGCCCCAAATAAATGGAGATCTATAAATTACATGACAGATAATTAAAAATAATTATTTTATGAGAGCTCAGCAAACTTCAAAAGAACACAGAAAAACAACTGGACAAAATCATAAAATAATACATGACCAAAACAAGACATTTACAGAAAAACTGAAATAATAATAAAGAACCAAACAGAAATTCAGGAGTTAAAGTAAACAATGAATGAAATTTAAACATGCAATAGAGCACATCATCAACAGCAGAATTGATCAAGGAAGATAAAGAACCTTTGAACTCAAACACAGTTATTTAAAAATATGCAGTTAGTAGGAAAAATAGACTGAAAAAGTCATGAAGAAATCTTATGGGATTTACAGTAAAACATCAAGATAGCTAATTTACTTATTATAGAATTACAAGGAGAAGAGAAAGAAAGGAACAAAAATCTGATTTAAAAAATAATGGCTCAAAAATTTCTAAATCTGAAGAAAATATAAACAACCAAATACAAGAAGCTGAAAAGTCTCCAAAGATACTCAATCCAGGGAAAATGACATCAAGACATATTGTAGCCAAACTGTCAAAAATCAAAACAAGAGATTATTGAAAGCAGCAGCAGCAGCAGCAACAACAACAACAACAACAACAACAACAACAACAACAACAACAACAGAAACAAAAAACAACTAAGATCCTAACATACCAGAGAATGTTCATAAGACAATGGATTTCTCAACAGAAACTAGGCCAAGAAGGAGTGGAATGATATATTCAATGTGCAGAAAGAAAAAGAAAAGCTTCTAGCCAAAAATAATTTACTCATCAAAGCTTTCCTTCAGAAGTGAAGGCAAAAAGAAACTTTCATAGAGAAGCAAATGCTAAAGGAGCTCATCACCACTAGACCTACCTTACAAGAAATGTTGAGGTGAGTCTTCAAGCTGACACAAAAGGAGATAATTAACATTATGAAGACATATAAAATGACAACATAAGACTCAATTGTGTGTTGCCTATAAGAGACTCACTGCAATATAGCTATTATGTACCCATAATAACTGAAAATTTTTTAAAAAGTAAAAATAAAAACATGTTGTAAAAGATACCCACTTCCACATTGACGATATTCACAATGAAAGGGAAGGGATGGAAAATGATTTTTCATGCAAATAGAAACCAAAAGAAAGTAGAGATACCTATTTTTCTATCAGACAAAATTAGACTTTAAATCAAAAACTGTAAAAAGTGACAAGGAAGGTCATTAGATAATAATAAAAGTGTCAATTAAATGAGAAGATATAACAATTGTAAATATGTATGCATTCATCATTGGAAAAACTAAATATGTAAAGAAATATTAGTAGATCTGAAGATAGAGATAGATTACAATAAAATAATGGTAGCGTACTTCAATACTCCAGTCTCAAAAATGAATAGATTATACAGACAGAAAATCAGTAAGGAGACATTGAACTTGAATTACACTTTAGCAAAAATGGATCTAACAGACATATATAGAACATTCCATCTAACTGCATCTGAATAGACATTCTTCTCAAGCCCACACAGAACATTCTCCAGATCACATATAGATCATATATTAGACCACAAAACAAGTCTTAACAATTTAAAGAGACTAAAGTCATATCATGTATCTTTTCTAACTACAGTGTTATAAAACTAGAAATCAACATCAAGAAGAATTTTAGAAAATTCACAAGTACATGGAAATTAACATGCTTCTGAACAACCAATGAATCAATCAATCAATAAAACCAATTTTTAAGTATCTTGAGACAAAACAAAATAAAACACAACATGTCAAAACACATGGGATGTGGCAAAAGCAGTTCTAGGAGAGAAATTTATAATGATAAATGCCTACATTATAAAAGATGAAAGATCTCAAATAAACAACACAATGTGACACTTCAAGGAACTAGAGAAGGAAGAACAAACTCAGTCAAAGTTAGTAGAAGGAGGGAAATAACACAGAGAAGAAATAAATAAAATGGAGACTGGAAAATAATAATCCTGATTAACTGAGATTTTTTTAAAGAAGCAAACAAAAACAACAAACCTTTAGCTCAATTAAGACAAAAGGAAAGAAGATTCAAATAAAATTATAAATGAAAGAGAAGACACTACAACTGACACAACAGAAGATAAAGGATAACAAGTTACTACTAAAAGTACTCATATGCCAATAATATGATAATCTGGAAGAAATGTATACATTCCTAGACACAAACAATCTACTAAGACTGGACCAGGAAGGATGGAAATCTGAACTGACAAATCATGAATAAGGAGACTGAATTAGTAATAGAAGAAATCCTATTAAAGAAAAGCCCAAGTTCTGTTGCCTTCACTGCTCAATTCTATCAACCATGTAAAGAAGAACTAAAATATCAATTTTTCTCAATCTCTCCCAAAAAAAAAATAAAGAGGAAAGAGGGGGATACTTTTAACCTCATTTTATGAGACCAGCATTACGTTGATACCAAAGTCATTAAAAAATGCTACAAGAAAAGAAAATTACAAGCAAATAGCCTTGAAGAATATAGATACAAAAAGCTTCAACAAAATGCTAGCAAACAATACAAAATTTAAGGATCACTTAGCAATCAAGTGGGATTTATTCCTGGGATGTAAGAATAATTCCACATATGACAATTAGTAAATGTGATAGAACACATTACCATTTTTGAAGGACAAAAATCATATAATTATCTCAATAGATGCAGAAAAATCATTTTATAAAATTGAATATAAAAATTCCCAACAAATCTATTATAGAATGTACCTCAACACAATAATTACCATATATCACAAGCCCACAGATAACATCATACTCAATGGCAAAAAGTTGAAATCATTTCCTCTAATATCAGGAGAAAGATAGTGGTGCCTACTCTAGCCACTCTTATTCAACATAGAATTGGAAGTCCTAGCCAAAGCAATAGGAAACAAAAATAAATAAAAGATATCCAAAATTGGAAAGGAATAAGTAAATTTGTCTCTGCAGCTGACATGATTTTATATATAGCAAACTTTAAAGACTCCAGCAAAAAAAAAGGAGAGAGAGAAACTGATCTAAGAAACAAATTCAGTTAAGTTGTAGCATAAAAAATTAACATAAAAATCAGTAGCATTTCTACACATTAACAATGAACTATCCATAAAAATTTAAGAAAATAGTGCCATTTACAGCAGCATCAAAAAGAATAAAATACTTAGGAATAATTTTAACCAAGTAGGTGAAATATCTGTACACTGAAAACAACAGAACATTGATGAGGGCAAAAATAAATGGAGGATATATTGTGTCAATGGATTGGAAGAATTAATCTTGTTAAGATAGTCAGGCTACCCAAGTAATACACAGATTCAATACAATTCCTACTAAAACTCCTAATTCCCACTAAAATTTTTCACAGACATAGAATAAATAATCTTAAAATTTGTATGGAACCACCAAAGACCCTGAACAACCAAAGCAATCTTATGTAAAAATAACACAGCTGGAGATATCAAACTCTCTAATATCAAAACCTATTCCAAAGCTACAGTAATAAAAAAAAATGTGTGGCACTGGCATAAAAATAAATGTATAATCAACAGAACAAAATGGAGAGTCCAGAAATAAATCCACACATTTCTGGACAAACTGATATTTGACAAAGGTGCCAAGAACACACAATAGGTAAAGTTCTTCCAAAATTGAAAAAAAACTTTGCTCTCCACAGGCACAAAAATTAAATTGCACCTTTATCTTATCCCATGCACAAAAATCAACTGAAAATGGATTATAGATTTAAATGTAAGACCTGAAACTGTAAAATTGCTAAATTAAAACCTGCGTAGAATGTACTTGAGGTTGGTCTTGGCAAATAATTTTTTGATACAACCTCAAAGGCATAAGAAACAAAACCAGAAATAGACAAATAAAATTGCTTCAAACTAAAAAGATTCTGCACAGCAAAAGAATTAACACAGTGAAAAGACAACCTGTGGAATGGGAGAAAATATTGGCAAACCACTCATCTGATAAAAGTTAATATTTAAAATATGTAAGGAACTTAAATAACTCAATAATAAAAAAAAATGTGATTGGGAAATGGGCAAATGGCCTGAGGATACTTCTTCAAAAAAGACATACAAATGGCCAACAGGTATATTACAAAATGCTCAAAATCACTCATCATCAGGGAAATGTAAATCAAAACCACAATGAGATAGAATGGCTGTATCAAAAAGACAAAAGATGTGTTGGAAACAATGTGGAGAAAAGGGAACCCTGTTCACTGCTAGTAGAAGTGTTTAGAAAACCAGGAGATATTGGGCAAAGGGTGAGAAGTTTCAGTTAGACAGGAGGAATAGATCTGAAGATCTATTTTACAGCATGGTGACTATACTTAATAATATATTGTATACTTAAAAATTTCTGAGAGAGTAAATTTTAAATGTTCTCGCCCCCCAAAAAAATAAGTATGTGAGCTTGATTTTATTATTCTACCATATTTATGTGTATATATATATACAAACATCCATATATATATACACATATATACACACACATTTTGTATGCCAAAAATATATACAATTTTTCTTGTCATTAAAAAAATGAACTATGAGTAGTCTGACATGTTACCGTGTGTGTGTGTATCTGTACTGAAAACATGAGACATGAACTCTTGCTTTCTTTTCACTTTTGTATTAGGTTCAGGGGTACATGTGCAAGTTTGTTATACAGGCAAACTCGTGTCACGGGGATTTGGTATACAGATTATTTCGTCACTCAGGTGCTAAGCCTAGTACCCAATAATTATTCTTTCTACTCCTCTTCCTCCCTCAACCCTCTACCCTCAACTAGTCCCCAGTATCTATTGTTCCCCACTTTGCACCCATGAGTTCTCATCATTTAGCTCCCACTTATAAGTGAGAACATGCAGCATTTGGTTTTCTGTTCCTGCATTAGTTTGCTAAGCATAATGGCCTCCAGCTCCATTCATGTTCCTACAAAAGACATGATCTCATTCTTTTTATAGCTGCATAGCATTCCATGGTATATAGTTATCCCATTTTCTTTATCCAATCTGGAATCAGTGGACATTTAGGTTGATTCCATATATTTGCTCTTGTGAATAGTGCTGCAGTGAACATTTGCCTGTATGTGTCTTTCTGGTAGAATGGTTTATATTCCTCTGAGTACATACCCAGTAATGAGATTGCTGTGTTGAATGGTAGTTCTGTTTTAGCTCTTTGAGGACTCACCACACCGCTTTCCACAATGGTTGAACTAATTTACACTTCCACCAACAGTGTATAAGTGTTCCTTTTTCTCCACAACCTCTCTAGCATCTGTTATTTTTTGACTTTTTAATAATAGCTATTCTGACTGGTGTGAGATGGTAACTCATTGTGGTTTTGATTTGCATTTCTCAAATAATCAGTGATGTTGAGTTTTTCATATGCTTGTTGGCTACATGGATGTCTTCTTTCAAAAATTATCTGTTTATGTTCTTTGCCACTTTTTAATAGGGTTGTTTTTTTCTGTAAATTTGCTTGAGTTTCTTATAGGTGCAGGATATTAGAACTTTGTCAGATATGTAGTTTGCAAATATTTTTCCCATTGTATAGGTTGTCTGTTTACTCTGTTGATAGTTTATTTTGCTGTGAAGACGCTCTTTTTCTTTCTTTCCTTTTATTTTTTTTTTTTTAGACAGAGTCACTCTCTGTCACCTAGGCTGGAGTGCAGTGGCACCATCTTGGCTCACTGCAACCTCCACCTCTCGGGTTCAAGCGATTCTCCTGCCTCAGTCTCCCAAGTACCTGGGATTACAGGCATGCACCACCACACCTGGCTAATTTTTTGTATTTTTAGTAGAGATGGGGTTTTGCCATGTTGGCCAGGCTGATCTTGAACACCTGGCCTCAAGTGATCCGCCCACCTCAGCCTCCCAAAGTGCTGGGATTACAGGCATAAGCCACTGCACCTGGCGCAGAAGCTCTTTCTTGATACAATTAGATCTAAGCAGCCAGAGTAACATGATTAGCATCCACCCTGCACCTACCCACACACAAAACTAGACCTGTAGGCAAGGCTATAAGATCTGGTTAAAAACTGCCTACATGAGTGATGGATTACACTCCCTAGACTAGGGATGAAATGGAGAACAATGAATTTTCTGTGCTTTTATGTGGGCAAGAGGTGGGTTCTATCTCCTCTTCCCCTGTAAGAATGGAGATAAGCCTCTGTTCTTTTATGTGATGTTAAAGACACTAGGCTCTTACTCTTAACTCTTTGAAAGTATAAATACATAATGAGAGCCAGATAAGCCTCACTGTCATAATACAGATATGTCTCCAAGGACTAGGCTTTATCCCTTTACATGTAGATATCTAGGGAGATAGATCTTTAGTCTTCCTGGAAGCTTGGGAGTTTAACTTAGAGGCTTAGTGTAGTCTATAACCATTAGCCCTCTTAGGTAGATAGCAGTTTTATTGTCCTTTTTGGATCAGCACAATTAACTAGACCAATGGCAACAGCTCTAATTCTCACGGTATGTGAGGAGAAAAGTATTTTGGAAAATAAATGAAAACACTTCTTTATATTGCCTACATCTCCATATTAGAGGAGGCAGGTCTTTTTACAGGAGCACTGAAACATTTTCATATTAGGTATGTTCCAGTTTAGTGATAGAATAGTGCATTTCGCTTTGCCGTGGTCTGGAAAGAGGCTTAATTAAGATGTTGGATAACATCTCTTTATGCCAAGCAAAATCTGGTTATAATTTGATTTTTTTCAAGCCATAGAAGGAAAAATGCACTTACTAGAGTATTTATTTTAGGTCTCTTTGTAAGTTATTTTTATCACATTAATGAATAAATTATCAATTTCTTGATGATGGTATTCTCTTATAAATTGGTTAGAATAAATCAGACAAACTGAATATGATCTTTTCGGGAAACAGTGATTAAATCTAACTTCTAGAGCTATAAAACTAACAAGTAAATACCATATCTTCTTGTTGTTGTTGTTGTTGTTTTTCCAAGATAAAACTATCCTGAAGTTTGGTTGACTAGCTTTTAGATTTTCCTAAATAAATAAATGTTTACATTTCTCCGTGAAATGATCCACACCTTTCAGAATGAGTAGAATTTTTGGAGTGGTCATATCAGCCTTTGTTCACACGATCTTTCTTACCTAACCTGATTAAAATAGCTTCTAGGCAAATATTGATAGCCCAGGATGGTCTTGGCAAAATTCATTTGAAAAACATCTATTCTACAGATGTTCTACATATACTACAGAGACCTTAGTATCCCTCTATCTTGCCATGAAAACCACTTCTCCAGCGTTCAGGCTTTATGTTGCCCCTTGACTGTTCAGGATTATCATTTTTCACTTCTGGGCCTTTATTATCTTTAGAGGATCCTGCCCTTAGGTAGCTCATTCTATTTCCCTTTACCTCAAATATATTTTTTGATATTGTGTTCTTTCTTATTGGGTTTATCTAATTGCTTTGTGAAAACAAGGTGGAAAAAGAGCTCATGTTTTTCTGGTCATGGATACTAACTCATTCACTGACTGATCAAATGTGTATCTGCCATGTGCAATGTGAACATGCTGAACACGGTTCCTAGCTTGATGTATCTAACATAACAATCTAGGATGATACATGTTTAAACAGAAGGCTTTTAATCCTTAATTGGGGGAGTATCATTAAAAAATGGTGTGTGCATGTGTGTGTATGTGTGTATGTGTGTATGTGCGCATATACACACATGTCAGATCTTTTATTTTTAATAGATGCTTTCCTGGAACAAAACCCACATCTATCTGGAACTCTAGGCCTTGTACTCATAAACCAGTCATATTAGTAGACTTGGATTTTGTCTTGTTCTCTTTTTCAGAATATGGCTTCCAAAATGCCTGGTTATAAAAGTAACTCTCAAAAGTGAGTTTATTATTTTTGTATCATATTACTTCTTTCAAATTATCCACTACCATCACTAGTACCATACAGTATTCATTTTCTATGGTAATACTTTTCTTTTAATCATAAAAATGTGCACTCAGTGAAGAAAAAAGAGAAAACCAACAGGGAATAAGAAATAATTATGAGCACAACTGCTAGTATTCCAGGCTTTCATTATTTATCCCAATAAATGTGAAAAGTCTGAAAAATTATTTCTGTTTTCTTCACATTTTAGCTAAATAAGACCACTTGGTCAGCTTGTTTGTGTATGAATATAATTCTGTATGTTCTTTTTTCCTTCTTACAGATGCTTCTTTACTGATAAAGGAAACGCTTTGGGGTGGTGAAACTGTGGGCTATGACACCAATAAAGAGATATAAAAATATATGCTGCAATTTTTACCAAGAAATGTATAATATGAAACTGGTTTTCTACTAAAGGCAATTAAATATTTAATTCATATGCTTATCTTCTCCCAGACTGTTGAAATTATGCATAAAACACAGTTTTAATATTTGCAAAGAATGAAGAGCATCAACATACAATATCTCATAATGTTTGCCCGTTTTCATATGGTGCTTGTTATAAATAGCTTTTGCTAAGTTAGATGATATAAGTAATACTGAATGACTCACCAAAAATATTTTGCTCCTCTCTGATTTGTGAAAGGAAAATAGCCAATTAGCACTATTAAAAAGATCTGAGTCATATCTAACAAATCTCCTTCAGTATGAGTTTCCATGTCCTGATTAGATTTTTAAATTTTTAAATATTTTAATTGATATATCATAGTTACACATATTTTGGGTAGTACATGTAATATTTGGATACATGTATAAAATATGTAATGATCAAATCAAGGTCTTTGGGATATCTATCACCTCAAACATTTATATTTTCTTTGTGTCAGGAACATTACACCTGAAATCTTTTCTCTCCTTAATTATGTCACTTAATTTGACATAAATTTAAACTTCTTTTTGTATCAATATAGTTAATCAAAAAATACTAAATAATTGGGTAACTATGAACAAATATTTTCTTGATATTTACCACACATCAATGAATTGAATGATCTAGAAAGCTGTATAAAATGGGGAAACTACCCACAAAAATGCAGCTTTTCTTTTCTTCAACAAAAATAGCATACTGAGTTTTTAAAATATTATTGCCTAAGTCTCACCTCAGAGATTTTGAATATGTAAATATGAAATAAACCCTGCATATGTGTATGTTTAAAGGACTCACTATAATTTCTGATTATAGCCAGAATTGAATTAGCAATGAATGTATTTCTAAAATAAATTTTTATAAAATGCATATTTTTATTGGCCACCAAATCTGGAAAACAGCAAATATCTTTTCATGAGAATTAATTTTATGAAAATATTATTTTCATCTGAGTCTGAGAACAAGTCAAACTATTCCTGAATACTTTTGATTAGCACTTTATTGGAGAAAGAATTACAAACAAGACTCTTTGATCACACTGAAGTAAAACTGGAATTTACTCAAAAAAACAAAAACAGAATAGTCCTTCCACCTAGAAATTTATAGACCACTTATTAGATATCTCTTGGGTAAAAATGAAATAGAAATTAACAACAAGCATGTTATATATTAGAATTTATAAAATGCAATTAAAGGGGAGATAAGCTGTAAATTCATTGCACTACACACTTTCATCAATTAAAAATAAAATAATAAAAAATAAAATCTCTAACTCAAAAAAATTATGAACAAAAATATAAAGGAAATAAAAAGAAAATATAATAAAGAAAATAATAAATATAAAATCATAAATTATGAGATATAAATTAGAACATAGATTCAATTAATAAATTATTCAGTTTTTGAAAACAATAAAATAGAAAACAACTAGAAAATCTAAGGGAACAAGAAGAATGTACAATTATAGGAAATAAGAAATAAGAGGCAAATAGCCATTAAAATAAAATAATTATTTTTTAAATGATGAGACTACTTTGCCGACCTCTAATGAAATATTTTTGAAAATGTAGATGAGATGGACAATTTCTCTTTTTTTATTTCTCCTAAGAAAATTAAAACAGGATACACATGAGGAACATACAGGTTGTTTACATAGGTATACGTGTGCCATGGTGGTTTGCTGCACCTATTGACCCATCCTCTAAGTTCTCTCACCTCACCCCCCACCCCCCAACAGGCCCTGGTGTGTGGTGTTCCTCTCTTTGTGTCCATGTGTTCTCAATGTTCAACTCCCACTTATGAGTGAGAACATGTTGTGTTTGGTTTTCTTTTCCTGGGTTAGTTTGATGAGGATGATGGCTCCCAGCTTCATCCATGTCCCTTCAAAGGACATGATCTTTTTCCTTTTTATGGCTGCATAGTGTTCCATGGTGTATATATACCACATTTTCTTTATCCAGTCTCTCATTGATGGGCATTTGGATTGGTTCCATGTGTTTGCTATTTTAAATAGTGCTGCAATAAACGTGTGTGTGCATGTGTTTTCATAGTAGAATTATTTATATTCCTTAGGGTTTATACTCAGTAATGGGATTGCTGGGTCAAATGGTATTTCTAGTTCTAGATCCCTAAGGAATCACCATACTGTCTTCCACAATGGTTGAACTAATTTACATTTTCACTAACAGTGTAAAAGTGTTCCTATTTCTCCACATCCTCTCCAGCATCTATTGTTTCCTGACTTTAATAATCGCCATTCTGATTGGCATGAGATGGTATCTGATTGTGATTTTGATTTGCATTTCTCTGATGATCAGTGATGTTGAGCTTTTTTTCATATGTTTATTGGCCATGTAAATGTCTTCTTTTGAGAAGTGTCTGTTAATACCCTTTGCCCATTTTCCTTTGAAAACTGGTACAAGCAAGGAAGTCCCATTTCACCACTCCTATTCAACATAGTATTGGAAGTTCTGGCCAGGGAAATCAGGCAAGAGAAAGAAATAAAGCATATTCAAATAGGAAGAGAGGAAGTCAAGCTGTCTCTGTTTGCAAATGACATGATTTTATATTTAGAAAACCCCCTCATATCAGCCCAAAAACTTCTTGAACAAATAAGCAACTTCAGCGAAGTCTCAGGATACAAAACTAATGTGTAAAAATGACAACCATTCCTTTACTGCAACAATAGACAAGCAGAAAGCCAAATCATGAGTGAACTCCCATTTACAACTGCTACAAAGAGAATAAAATACCTATGAATACAGCTAACAAGAGATGTGAAAGGACCTCTTCAAGGAGAACTACAAACCACTGCTCAAGGAAATAAGAGAGGACACAAACAAATGGAAAAACATTCCATCCTCATGGATAGGAAGAATCAATATTGTGAAAATGGCCATACAGCCCAAAGTAACTTATAGATTCAATGCTATTCCCACCATACCATTGACATTCTTCACATAATTAGAAAAAACTATTTTAAATTTCATATGGAATCAGAGAAGACTCCGTATATGCAAGACAATCCTAAGCAGAAAGAACAAAGCTGGAGACATCATGCTACTTGACTTCAAACTATACTGCCAGGCTAACAGTAACCAAAACAGCACGGTACTGGTACCAAAACAGACATATAGACCAATGGAGCAGAACAGAGACCTCAGAAATAACACCACACATCTACAATCATCTGATCTTTGACAAACCTGACAAAAACAAGCAATGGGGAAAGGATCTCCTATTCAGAAAATGGTGTTGGGAAAACTGGCTAGCCATACGCAGAAAACTGAAACTGGGCCCCTTCCTCGCTCCTTATATGAAAATTAACTCCAGGTTGATTAAAGACTTTAATGTAAAACCCAAAACGATAAAAACCCTAGAAGAAAGCCTATGCAATACCATTCAGCACATAGGCATGGAAAAAGACTTCATGACAAAAACGCCAAAAGCAATTGCAACAAAAGCCAAATTGACAAATGAGATCTAATTAAACTGAAGAGCTTCTGTATAGCAAAAGAAACTATCATCAGATTGAGCAGGCAACCTATAGCATGGGAGAGACGGACAATTTCTTAAGGAAAGGCAAGTTATTAAATGTGACCTTATTTGAGATATAATGTTTAAACAGATCAATTTTTTATTTGAGAACTTTAGAAAATTTATTCTCGGAGTGCTTTCTTTTTAGCCTTTCAGATCCACTCACCATGCTTCTCTACCCTAATACCTGCTCAAAAAAACTGTCCTCTTTGACCATATTAATCATCATTCTCAACCTCAAACTTCTGGTAGTGTTCTTGAATCTGACCCCATGCTTTTATCCATTTAAGGGACATCATCACACAATTTATTTTTCTAATTACCTCTAACAAAACGATGAATTGTACAGCTGGATTTCTAAATATTGAGAGCCATCTTTGCATGCCTAAATATTATTTAGCTATGATGTGCATTTGCATTTTTGTCATGTTATTGTTTTGTATTTGTCTATTTTTTAAATTATTAATCTTTTAGCAATTTCACCATAAAAATTCAAATGTAAAATACAACTATCACCCATTACACACCCTCCATAAATATTAATATCCTATTAATTATTTTATATCAACTGTCCTTCCCTCCACTCCACAGCACCTCAATCAGTTACTATTCCCATTGTTATTATGTACTTCTTGAGATAAATTTACATCAATTGAAACACACAAATCTCCTATTCTATTATCAAATATGCCATTTTTAGCTACTTTTTTACATCCCATTCTGAAAATAAAAATTAGCAACTCTGTTATTATTCAGAACGCCAAAGCTGTTTGAAATCTGCTTGTCTTGAAACAAGCAGATTTGTGCTTTTACAGTTTTCTAATATTTATTTAGTGCTGGTTATATCTTTATTCATGATGTTGGATCATCTATTGGACTACATGAGAATATTAGTTTCCAAGGATTCTCTCAAAATTATTACTATGCTTCATTGACTATGAGCACAAAAGCATGTGTTACTTAAATCATGCAGAAACATGTAAACTAATTTATTTTCTAGTCATGTTTAATTCACTCTTCAGAATTTCAATACTGTCAAGGTGGAATGACACATGTTCAAACCACTTTTTCTGTTGAACTTGAAAGTTCATAATCAACACATTCCAATAATATGATCTCTTTCAAAGTTGACTAAACCCCTTCACACACGTTGATCACAATAGAAAAAATAAAGGAAGAGAAAAGAGCAGTCCCTTTTGCTAAAGAATACTTGTTCCTCTCCAGCATGGCTCAAGACTGACTCAGAACAGGACAGTACCCCATTTACCACAGGCGAGAGAAAACAGCAATCTTAATGAATTTTTGTCAGTGTCAAGCACTGACAAAGCCCTTTGCAGAGAAAGGCATGGCCTCATGAAAGTGCTCAAAATGTAGCATGAAGACTGTGGACGAGTTAGGGTGTCTACCCTGGATGCCAGAAGTGAAGAGTGCACAGGGTGAAGAATGCCTGTAGCCACCCCCACTAGAGAAGGCACTGTGATCAAAACAAAGACAGGCAAGGTCTGATACATAAACCACACATGTGACTCAAGCCCAGAGCCTGGCAACAGACCTCCGATAGCCTAGAGCCCTGAAGTCACCCTATGTCTGACTTGAGTGAGAAACTGCCCAAATCAGCACCATCCTGGCAGCATAATCTTATGTGATCATTTGAAAGAAAGGCCACAGCAGCCAGTGAGAAGAATCTGCTCTTCTCACTAGAATGCCCTTCCCCTATCTCAGGCTCAGGGCAACTCATAGGCTCAAGTCTCTTAGTACCATAAGACAACCAGTTGAGCCTATACCTAGAGTATACGATCAGAGAGAACAAACTGGAAAATAGAGACCAGAACTCAGAGGTCCTGGATGAGGCTCCTGCAATATGACCAAGATGTTCCTGCCAGCCCACGTTGGGCCCAAGCGTTGAGAGTAGGACTTAGAGGGACCCCCTCCCAGCCAAGGTTTTAGGGTGATACTGCTTTTCATCATCACTCTAGCAATGATATTTTCCCCTGGAGGTAGCAATTGTTTCTAGACACCAAATTGCCCTGGCATATGCAGACTGAATATTATGAGGGTCTTTCAGAGGTGACACCAGCCTGGAAGCATCTCACCTCCAACATCTGAGCTCCAGCTTTGGAGACTCCTACTTAGATGCTGTAGGAGCATCTTCCTCTTTACTCCATCCCTAAGGGAGTTTACCTGCTTTCTGATGCTACCTTGCAGTAACCTCAGAGGTTCATTTTTGCTCATTAAATGCTCCAGTACCCATGTAAACAATTTTCTTTATTAAATTCCCTCTATCGAAAGAACTAGTATAATTTCTGTTTGCTTGACTGGACCCTGGACAGATACACCTATAAATCAGGGATAAAGAAATCATACATCGAGTGGAAACAACTTTCTAATTTTGTTGAATATAAGATTTTTTACTGTGATTTGTTTATGATTTATATCTGAAAACTGGTTTCATTGAGACAGATCCAAATTTTTTGCTCTCTTTGTAGATGAAACTGGCTAATTTATATAGATTGGAAAGCAGTATGAGATTGATAATTAACATATATGACATATATCTATTTTTTAAACTTACTTCAGGAAAAAATTGCTGATATTACTCAATGTCATTAATTGACAACATATTTTAAATATCACACACTTCCTGTTTTTGTTTTTCTGATTTCTCCACCAGAATTAATTCAATCCTCTGTTATAAAGTGAATTTTGATGCTTGACTCTTAGACTCTTGCATTTCTTTCAGTGTTCTTTAATATTTAAAAGCAACAGGATATAATTACTGAAAGATAAAACCTGGTAAATATTTCAAAGGTGTGATAACATAATGAGCATGACTTTAAATAAAAGACCTTTGATCATACATGATTCAGCTAAGGTTGTTCTATGTTTTATTATTTTTTCTATCATATATTGCTTTTGCTATATGAAATGAACTAGAAATAAATACTAATGGGATTAAATATGCACCACTCCATATCTACCATCACATGTGTATTTACTTGAAGCACTGTAGTACAGGATTAGTTAAGTTTCCATAATAAAAGACGAACATAATCTATTCTCTAAACTGATACCTCAGTTATTTAAAAGGAGAAATTTAACTCACCAGTATTGACAAGTAACATAGAATATCCGCTCATTATGGTGAAAAGCAGTAACATCTTTTATTGTGCTTATTGCTATTTTTCTTGAAAAATGTTGAGTCAAAAGCTACAATTCTCCTTATCAGATGAGAAATATTTTAGATAGTACATTCTTTTCATATGATAGTTCTCAAAATGTGATAAACTGTAAAACTGCACACGGCAAAAGTCAAGCATATTATCCTGATTAGCAAGACGACCCAGATCAATAGGTGAGGATGGGAACATATAACATCATTTGAATACTTATCTTACTCTCTGATTTATCCCAGAACGAAAAGAATTCTAATGAATCAGATTCCAACTTATGAGTGTCAGGAAAACTTTTTTAGTAATTCATTTTCTGGCCTAAATATTTTTCTTTCTTTCTCCAAATGTCTTATCTTTATATTCATTAATTTTGAAGTGAAACTAGCATTCAACTTAGTAACTCTTTGTAGGCAATCCTAATCTCTAAGTAGAAAAAACTGTATATAATTTTACATTTCCTTAATATTTAGACTATGCTGATATTCAATAAATGATAAATAATAGACAATTACTTAGTATCACTTATAAAGCAGAATGTAGTATTTGAGAAATATGAGCTGGATTATGTGAATTAAAGTTTTACATAGTAAAATGAGTTATCCCACTATATATACATATATATATGTATGTTTATATGTATGTGTGTGTGTGTGTGTATGTGTGTATATATATATGTTTAAGCACAAGCCACCAAGGAAAGTTAAAAAGTACTTAGTTATGCTTCAACTTATTTGTACGCAATTTCCCCATAGTAGAGCTTGTCCTATTGCCAAATAGCTTTGTAACTGTAACTATGGGTTTCAAAATATCCATGCAGCACTCATCTATGCAAAATCTATGTAATAATAACAAAAAAATCATAATGGAAAAAGTGTTAGGCACTAAATGTTTTACTATGTTATACCTCATTGTAATATTCAGTTGAAATGTAACTGATTTTTAAGCTTGACCTATTCTCCTAAATGTTTTTAATATTCATGTAATTAGTGGAACAAATTTACTCGACATAACCCTTCCTACGTACTGATCTCACACTACTTTGCGCATAAAATATTTAAGTTTAACAAAAGTATATGGGAGAATCTGTACTTTCCACAAGAGCAAACAAATATACAACATCTAATGAAGAATCAAATATTTAACAAAGACTCAGATTCTTTTCATCTATCCCTACAACAGGATGATATATTGTTTATAAAATACTTTATAAGTATATACTACCGTGGTACAGAAACTCTAATGTTTTCTATTTGCAAGGTGATTCTGACTTCCTTTTCAATAGAACACCTAATAGATGCATTTCGGAAAGAAAAAGAAACTCTGACTTAACTACCAGGAAACCAGACTCATTTGATAAGTTCTACTGAAGTTGAATGCTAAAACTTTGTTGATAGTCCTGGAGATAATGTATCTCAGTGGCCACAGGAATGTAAAACCTATATAAGTAAATATTAACTTTTTGATACATGGCAGCATTGTTGCAATCATGACCAGTCTATCATGAAAAAATTATTTTTCAACATACTAAGAAAAAATAAGTATTAATTATATGCCCAAAAAACCATGAACTGTTTGAACTATAGTATAATGTATTTCTGTTATCCTAGTAAATCTACCATTTCCTTGTACGAAATAACTTATAATAAAATAAGCATGACATGTAGGAATTTAAATAATAAAATATTGAAAGTAGAAGTTTAGGACTAAATGAATCATTATATTGCATAAACATATGTAATTTTTAAAAGTTGAAATAAATGTATAACTAAAATTTTAAAGATCTACTCAGACTTTAGTTTGTAGCCAAGATGGAGTAACATGGCCTAAATTTCCCTCCTGCCTGAAATAATCAAACATCAGACACATTACATAAAACA
This sequence comes from Homo sapiens, assembly GCF_000001405.40. Classification (NCBI taxonomy): domain Eukaryota; kingdom Metazoa; phylum Chordata; class Mammalia; order Primates; family Hominidae; genus Homo; species Homo sapiens. Next base: position 120,169,913 of record NC_000006.12, on the reverse strand, counting down.
ATGGCTTTCAAGAGATTGCATATCAGGCAATGAAGGAGAATAATTACTATGGTGTGAGAAACAAACAAGATGATTCCTATGGTTGTCTCAACTTATGGCCTTGAGAATGTTTCTAGGCCATAGTGCAACATGGGAAAACCCAGAAGTATGGCAGACTTCCTGTGGAGACTCAGATGAGGATCAGGGGAGAACAAGGTATTTACATTTTGCTGAACAGAGTACTGGAGAGAAAAGAGCAGCACTGAAATAAAGCTCTGGAGAGCTGCTGAGGTATGCTTGAATATTCAGCAGAGTATATTCAGACTATGCATGTGAGGAAATTTCCAGAGGCCAGAGGAAGAACCTTATGGGAGGATTCAAGCAAACAATGCCCAATGTACATAGGACCAGAAACAGCACCTGTTCTCACAAGATAGATTGAAAATCTCATAATTCAGGGTTATCTAGTAGAATAGAAGGCTTGTGCCACAAGAGTGGGGAATAATTACTCCTATATTACAAGATCCTCTGAACAACCCCAACAAATCTTCAAAACAAGGTTCACAAGGACAAATTATTTCCAAGCAACTTAACAGTGTCCCAGAACAAAGATCAACAATATTTATAGAGATACAAAAAATATCCAGCAAACAAAAAGTTAAAATTAACAATGTTTGCCATCTAGCTAAATATTACCAAGTTTGCAAATGTGCAGGAAAATACAACACAATGAGAAGAAAAAAATAATCAAAACTAAACCAGACCTCACATAGATGTTAGAATTTAAAGACAAGTTTATTTAAACAAATATTTTAACTAGGTTCCATATGTTCAAAAAGTTAAAGACACTGAATATATGAAAAAGGCCTGAAATGAATGTCTAGAGATGCCCAAGCTAAAAAAAAAAAAAAAAAAAAAAAAAAAAAAGTGAACTGGATAGTGTTAACATCAAATTAGACATTGCAAAAAGAAAATGTCAATGAACTTGAAGTAGCAGTAAAATATCCAAAATGAAAGAAAATAACCTCAAAAAGTGGAATAACATCAGTAAACATGGAGACAATTTCAAGCTTCCATATATACATATATATATATATGTATGTAGGTATGTTAGGGTCCCTATAATAGAGGAGAGAAAGGAGAAGATAAAAAAAATTAGAAGAAATGACACGCAATCTTGAAACATGATTAAAATTATTAACCTACCGAACCAAGGGGATCAAGGAACCTGTTATATTCAAGAAGTTCAAGCACAGGAAACATAAAGAAAACTATAACAGGACAAGTCATAGTAAAATTGCTCAGAGCCATTGATAAAAAGAGAAAAGTATCCAGAGAACAACAACAACAAAATATTACATACAGAAAAACAAAATTAAGATGATAGTAGATTTTATGTCAGAAACAAAGAAGTGAGGAGACAGAACATCTTTAAAATATGAAAGAAAAAGCAAAACCTGCACAAATAAAATATTATACTCAGCAAAAACATCTTTCAAAAACATAAGCAAAATAAATCCTTTTCAGACATACTAACCACAAATAATCGCCATCATACTTTCACTACCAGAACTATTCACGGAAGTCCTTCAGACAGATGGAAGATGATACCATATAGAAATATGGATTTACTTAAAGGAATAAAGAGCATTGGAAATGATAATTACTTGGGTAAATAACAAGCTTAAAAGTGGGCGAAGTCTTTGAATAGACACTTCATTAAAGAAGATATGCAGATGGTGAATAAGCACAAAGAAGGATGCTCAACATTGTTAGCCTTTAGAGAAATACAAATTAAAACTAAAATGAGATAACACTAAACACCTATTAGAATGGCTAAAATAACACTGCATATACTGGGTGATGGCACGGATGTGGAGGAACTGGAATTTTCTCACACTACTGGTAGTGATGTAAAATTGTACAAATACCTTGGAAACAATTTGACACTTTATTAAAAGGTTAAACATATACCTACCATATGATCTAGCCATTCTATATCTTCGATTTACCTAAGCAAAAGTGTAAAATAAACTTGTCCGTTTTCATCAAATGTTTGTAGGTTTATTTTCAGTAGCCTAAATCTGGAAAATACTTAAGTGTTGTTCAATAGGTGAATGGATAAGCACGTGAGTATATCCATTAAGTGGAACACTACTCAGCAACAAAAAAATGAAATATTGATACACAAATACAATGAAATATTATTAACATAACTATTGCTAAATAAAAAAGGAGTACATACTGCATTATTCTACTGAAATTAAACTCTACAAAACTAATAGGAATCTAACCAATGGTTTTCTTGGAAATAAGTCAAGGAAAAAAGCAGGAGAGATGAATTACAATGGAAATGAGGAAAGTCTGGGGTGGTGAATATACTTAGTATCTCAGTTGTGGAGATGGTATCAAGATTGCATACACAGGTCAAAACTTTCATATTGTACATTCTAAACCTATGTAGTTAATTGCATGTAAATTATACCTCAACGAAGTTGTTTGTTTAAAATAGTATTGTACTCATTTTTCATCTTCTGCTCTGTCCTTACTTCTGTTCTCAATTGTGCACAAGTTCCACATAGAGCAAAGGAAAAGGCAAGTAGTTGATGCTGATAAAGAAAAGTAAAATAAGAAAAAAAAGTCTTATCACTTCGCAATGCCTCTCTGCCTGAAAGATATGGTACACTCACTACTTTTATGTAATTGTGTGTGATGTATCTGCATGTGTTTTCATGTCTTTTTCTTAAACAGAGTTATGTCAGGTAGGTCAGGCCACCCATTGACATATCAATTCGTACCTACCCAGTGAGTCATTCTAAAGGTCACAGACATTCTGAAAATGAAGTGGAGTCTGAATTATCTAACAAAGGTCCTTTGATAATCTAATGCAGCATTTAAAACATAGCTAATTATGAATAATTCTTAGACTCATTTAAAATATTCAGAAAGCTTCATTTCTCCGGAAAAAAAAATGTATTGCAATGCAAGGAAATGAAAATTCTACTTGCAAATACCTGTAGCACGCATGGTGAAATGTATTGAAATTTTCAAATTAGAGTTTATTTCCTAAGATTTGAAACCTTCTGTAACTGAGCCCAGGTTCAACTGCTCACCACTGGCAAGCCAAACACAAGAGATGAGGTCAGTGGTAGAAAAAGCAGGTTTATTAAGAAAGCCAGCAAAACTGGGAAGATGGTGAACTAGCATTCTAAAGTAGCCAGAGGGTTTTTATGGGAAAGGATATGAGGAAGAGTAGAGGGTTGGTATCAAGAGGTGACCAAGGACTGCAGACATCTGGGCAAGCGAGGGTCTGAGGAGGTTGGGAACTTCTTTGTTCTTGGTCAGGTCACAATGTTCCTATAAATCTTTAACAATACATAATTGTTTTCATGCTTCCCCTTTAATCCCAGAGTTAGTTACAAAAATTATGTGATTGCTGTTTTTGCATACTATCCCAGTGTTCTAAAATTATCCTTTCAATGGTCAGGAATGAGTAAAGTCCCCTTAAAAATGAAATTTATTATGTTACTTCTTTTGCTGTTTCACTGTTAATACCTCGCTGTTAAAATTCCAAGGAAAATGACACAGGTGGTCGTGTGAGGCTTTTAGGCAAGATAATGCAATGTAAGACCCTTTCACAATATATCAGTAATTTATATCTTTATGAGTGTGATTCTTAGCCAAGATCATTTTTAATGACAGATGGAATATCTTGGGCTCTTCAGCTGAGGTAACCAATGAGCAGGGATAAAAAGAATCTGAATTCACAATACATAAAGGTTATCTCAAATGTTAACTATCTTAGCAACCAGTAAATCCAGAATTAAATTGCAAAAGCAAAGCCAAGTAAAACATCATTTTTACTGACAAATCTAAGCTTGAAGCTTCTCGGATCACTATAGAAAACTGTAGGAGAAATATAGGTATATCATTTCTTGTAACTTGTAGAGTTATCTGGGAGTTGTTTATATCAATACTATAACTTTATCAGGCAAGAAAATATGTAGAAGCTGAAAATATCACTAGCTTACCTAGTATCACCACTGAGAGACGTAAAAATCATTTAATCCAGGAATCATTACATGAGGAAGATTGTATATTTTAAAGTTAAGCAAAAAATGTGAATTATATGGATGGATATCAAGATGCATAGAAAGAAAAAGAAACAGATTTATGTTTCCACAATACTAAGTATTTATGAAAAATCTTCTTGAATATAGACCAGAAAGATTGCAAGAGGAAGAGATGGAGGATGACAACTGCAGAAAACACATGTATAAAAACTTAACTGAAAAAAAAACTTTTATAATTTAATCAGTGACCATAAATTAACGTGTATATATATGAATGTGTGTTAATGGATATAAGAAAGGTGACAGTGAAGAGGAGAAGAGGTAGGTGTAAGCATTGAGATTTTTCTTCAATATTTCCAGAAATTACTTCTAATTGGGTATTAGTCTTTTGATATATTGATGGAAATTTTTTAGAGAGGTCACAAGATGAAACACATTTGGAAAATGCTACATACATGCCAGATACAATAAGGGCCTCATAGAGGTTTATAATTCTTATTAACATATTAAAGACTTATGTGGTCCACAGTCGATAAATTTGCTTAAATTGTTCAAATCAGAATATACCACACTTATTTATCCACAGACATTTTTTTCTTGGAATATTTTAAAATTAACTTTTTGCAAAAATATCATTCTACGTTAATTTTTGAAAATACATTACTCAGTTTTTATACTATGACTCAAGTTGCTTTTCCATGAGAAAGAATGGATCTGGATCAGGAGAGGTGGAAATTGATAGTTTCTATATTTTGGAGCTTTTTTAAAAGTTATTGATGCATAATGATGTATATAGTTTTGGGATACTTGCGATAATTTAATATTTATATAACTTGTAAAGATCAAATCAGTGTACTTGGGATATCTGTCAACTTAATTATTCATTTTTTTCCTTATGCCAGAAGCATTTGAATTCTTCCACTCCAGCTATTTTGAAATATGCGATTAATTCTTGTAAACTATTGTTACTCTACTGATCTTTTAAACACTAGGTTTTATTTCTTCTATCAAACTGTATATTTGCACTCATAAATCAACTTCTCTTCATCGCTTCCTTTCTGGCTTCTGATAACTACCAATCTGTTCTTTATCTTCATGAGATACATATTTCAATTCCCACATATGAGTGAGCATATGCAACATTTTTCTTTCTGTGTTTGGCTTATTTCTCTTACCATACATATGGTATATTTACGTGTATCTTTTCCCTATAATGCTTTTAGATGTTACTTGCCATCTGAGCTCTACAAGGCGCAGAGTTCAGGAGTCTAAAAAGGAGCAGATCCTCCACACATTAGAAGATTACAGTAACTCACATAAATTTTGTAAGTCAATAATAAATAGCTCTTACATGCATATAGAATGAAGCCAAAAAAAAATGGCTTGCTATTTGGCCATAAGAAACAAAGAAATAACTTGTAGCTTTGAATACATTTGAAGAATATCCTATAGTCTTTGGTCCATCTTTTGAGGATGACTTTTGGAGACCACTTTCAAAATATTAGACTACATTGAGAATCATAGTAATTCAGTGTTTAGTAGTATCAAAAGTCCATCTGGTCCTGAGTTTTTTGCTAATTGATCAGTCCTGCGTTATGTAAGATATATTTTATTATTAGTCAAAATGTATAAATATTTTGTTAATAATCAACTGTTACTAAATTTATGAATGATTTTTTCACAGATGTAACCAGATTAAAGATGAAATAGCTAATGATATTCTTCATCCTTACATTCTGACATACTGTCCTCAGTGAAAAACAAAAACAAAGGAAAGCAGATATTTTGCATTAAATCAAGTAATAATTTTAGTTCTGTTATTGGAATATGTCACACAGGTAAATCATATCAATCATGCAAGTTGCAGAAAAGAATTAAAACTCGAGATCTAGTAATTTATTTTAAGACATCCCTAACAGAGGTAATTATGCACATTACTCCATTGGAAATTTCTGGCTTTCCTTTGAAGCTCTATAACATGTAGAATATTGAAAGCACGTGTGGCATCTTCTGTGGATTACTTGCCCTATCACCTTCCTCTACTGTATTGTAAAGTCTAGAAGCTTAAAGCCCTATTTTCCAGGCTCTGCTGCCACAGTTCTGGAAGTGAATTTCATAATGCAACTGAATATTCATGTAAGATTTTAAAGGGAAGTTCTTTCTCTTGCCTGCTCCAATTTTTCTACAGGTAGGTGAAAACATGGAGATCCACATAGCAAGAGGATATTGCAGCTTTCCAAAGTCTACTCACCAGATTCATGTGTAGCTATGTAAGCAACAGCGGAGTTAGGAGCTGACGAATGTTTTAGCCCCACTAGTTTCTATGGCTGCCTGCAGTTACTTGACTCCCACATAGCCACTCTTCCCAGTAATTTTTCTAAGTATAACATTCCCTGTATTTAATCTTCTCAGCTTAAAAGATTTCTGCCTTTTACACTGAACTAGGAATGATACAGTAGAAATGACATATAACCAAAATATAGGAAAAAATAAAGCTTTCATATTAAAAATCTGAATACATAATAGAATTTAATAAAAAATAAAATAATGCAATATATAATAAAAATAAATAACTGAAAATTATTAAAATACTACAAACCATTATGTTGTATTTGCAATGCAGGTAGGATTACAGGTACCTTTATTTTCTATAAAAGCTATTGAGAAAATATTGGGGATAAAATTCTGTTCTCCCAAAAGGGTCTTTGTTTTTTGTTTGTTTATTTTAACAATCATGTTTATTTTTTCCATTTAGGAGAGAACAAAGCAGAACCCATATGTTGTTTGTCTCCTCATCATTATCATCAATAAATTTATTTTTCTCTCCTTTCCTTACTCTAAGCTCTAGAGAGTAGATATTAAAACTGGTTTTTAAAGTAGGAATTTTATGTAGTTCATTAAACTGGCTGTTCTCCATTAAACAGTTATTGACTAAAACTAGGATTAATTAAATAAAAATATTGGCTTATAAAAAGTGTAAAATGTCTAACTACCTTGAATATGTTCCTTATTATACATAGTTTGAGATTTAATAAATGCTTTGGATTTCTTTAATGAAAGGATATTATCTACTTAAATTTTGAAAATTATATATAAATTATGATTTTAAGAATTATAAGACAAGGAAAATTCTCCATTTAATCATTTGTATAATTATTATATATATTATATCTACACAAACATTTACTAATAAAGAATCTACATATACATTACCTGAAATAACCCTCTTAATATAATACTAATAAGTTGCTGTTTTACAGAGTAGGAAAAGCAGACCTGGCGATTTTAAGTACTTTAATCAAACTAATTAGTCAAGTGGTAGAGCTAAAATTTTAGGAGAGATGATCTGAATTATGAGTCATATAATTCTTTATTATCTTATGATTATTTATATTAAGTATCTAGTCTTTATTAAATTTTAGCTGACATAAAGCAATTATACATAAAAATAAAAGTTGCAACTCTCAAAAAAATTTTAAAATATTATTATTTCAGCTCAGATTTAAGTTAAATTCTAACTTACCGAATAAAATTCATATTCAGAAATATATATCTATATATAGAGAGAGAGATATATGTTATACTGAGTAGTTGTTCCTTCTTCTCAAACTCCCAATACATTGATTAAATATATCTACTGGAAAATTATAATGTGCTTTTAAATAAGTAAGCTAAATGTAATCAATTGTTTTGCATATTACCTGAATAGACACTAGATTAGTAAAAAAAAAACATATTTTTTAAAGAAACTAAGAAATCAGTTAATAATTAGTTATTGTATCTTGACTCTGGTGGCATGGGGAGAGGATGCCATACCAGTGAATAGAAGTATCCAATCTTGATAGATTTATGTTAGATGCAGTAAATTGGTATAAAATGTGTTAAGGGCTTAAAAAATAATAATCCAGAGTCTTAAAGATTATTTCACTCCCCTTTTTTGAATCATATATTCGGCATATAATTCTAATTTTGCTATTTACATTGACTGGTGAAATCAGATGCCTGAGTGTAGTTGAATCTAGATACGATATACCAAATGTGTGACTCTGGGATATTAAACTTGTGATTTAATTCCTGCATACATAATCGAGACCAGTAATACCATTAGTGTCTCAGGACTGTTGTGGGGATTGAATGAATAAATATATCTAAAGCTCTGTTTGTCATATATTAATTGGTTAATAAATGTTAAGTAGCTCTAAATAGTAATTAACATATAATGAGTTAATTGCTATAAACTAGGTAACAAAGTAAATGTTTAAATACATAATCTTCTTACAAAGAATTCATGAAATGGGATCATTTCTTTAAATGAGGAAATTGAAAAAAAAAGCATCCCACCAATAATCGGTGACTACTAATATTCCAAAATGCTTTGTAGATATACGATTTCTCTTAGATCTGGGATTGTTTACATACCAGTCTCTTGTAAATTTGGCCACAAAGATGCAGTTCCTAAGAGGGTAACTACTTTGGGGATATCAAAATTTTAATTACTTTGTGCATCTGCAAAGCTGAAGATTAAATTTTGGAAAGTAATGAGCAACTGTACAAGGCACTATCTTCTTATGTGATTTTATTTGACCCTAGAGGATAGCTCCATTTTATCACTTGATAAATTTGAGAAAAATTTTCTGTCTTTTTTTACGGTATGATTATGAAATTTTAAATTCAGATTTTGTAATTTGTTATGATCTTAATATACTGGTATAGAACTATACATTCTATTTCAATATGAAATCCCCTGAGAATACCTAGGGAAATTTTCATGAGCTGTAATAATTCAGTTTACTATCTATTGGTTATGTGATATAATTATAAATAGACTAATCCAGAAGGCTGGATGGCCATTTCCTTTCTCCCTGACCTCACATTTACAGATGAAAGACTTCCACTAGATTAACTTTCTTGGAATCTTTCCACTCTCCTTCCAACTCCTTTCCAAGTGAGAGAAAGTGACATCTATATGGATATGTTTGTAAATGGAGGGTTTGAGAAAAAGGTGCTCAGTCCCTTCCTTTCTTTTAATCTCTCTCTCTTCCTCCTCTTCTAGTGCACCCTTCTCCTCAACATCATCACCATCACTGTCATAGTTATTATTTATTATTTTCATCATTTTAACCTGTCTGCTTTCAGTGAAGGCATATTCTATTCAGCTATAAGGTATAAGTTTAGGGGAGTGGGTTCTGCTCCATGAAGAATGGGGCAGGAGGGCTGGAATTGTCCAGGATAGTCAGTAACTGGGTAGGTAAATCTTTTCTTCTGAGGTGAATGATCGGTAAGCTATATTGTTCACACATATAAAGTAATACTCTTCAATCTTTGTATTACTAATAAAGGTGTGCCTGAATTATACATCTACTCCTAAATTAGTTCTGAATTTTGTAAGAGATAAAATATCAATTCTCTCTTAGAAATTTCAACACAGCAGGATCTACTGTTTCTTGACTTTTTAATAATCATCGTTCTGACTGGCATGAGATAGTAACTCATTTTGGTTTTGATGTGCATTCCTCTAATGATCAGTGATGACTTTTTTCATATATTTGTTGGCCGCATAAATGTCTTCTTTTGAGAACTGTCTGTTCATATGCTTTGCATATCTGCTGGTGAGGCTGTGGAGAAATAGGAACACTTTTACACTGTTGGTGGGAATGTAAATTAGTTCAACCATTGTGGAAGACAGTGTGGTGATTCCTCAAAGATCTAGAACCAGAAATACCACTTGACCCAGCAATCCCATTACTGGGTATATACCCAAAAAACATAAGTCATTCTATTATAAAGACACCTGCACATGTATATTTACTACAGCACTATTTACAATAGCAAAGACAAGGAACCCACCCAAATGCCCATCAATGATAGACTGGATAAAGAAAATGTGGCACAAATACACTATGAAATACTGTGCAGACATAAAAAAGAATGACATCATGTCCTTTGCAGGGAAACGGACAAAACTGGAAGCCATCATCCTCAGCAAACTAACACAGGAACAGAAAACCAAACACCACATATTCTCACTCATAAGTGGGAGCTGATTAATGATAACACATGGACACAGAGGGGAACATCACACACCAGGGCCTGTGCAGAGGTGGGGTGCCAGGGGAGGGAGAGCGCTACAACAAATACCTAATGCATGCAGGGCTTAAACCCTAGATGACAGGTTGATAGGTGCATCAAACAACCATGGAACATGTATACCTGTGTAACAAACCTGCACGTTCTGCACATTTATCCCAGAACTTCAGGTAAAATAAAAATAAAAAATTCAACACAGAGGACAGTCACATACCTTCATTCTGAGCTTAGACAGGCAGGAAAAAAAGAAAAACAAGAGACTCTAGGTCTTTGAAGCCAAACACCTTCCTTTTTCATATTTCCATTCTGCAGTACCATCTGTGAAGGTATTTTCATTGCCTTGAACATCTTCCAACTCTCTTACCTATTATCCCTGGATATTTTACCATTAGAGAAAGTATAACTGTATTCAGAAGCTGCTTACCAACAGACTTAGTGTTGACTCTCTATACATGGAAAATATTTCACTGAAATACTATGTTGAGGTTTGTTAAGATAAAATATATGCTACTCAAACAAGAAGAATTATGATAATTTGGTAGGAGACACAATAACATCAAAACAACCACTTTTGCTGCTATTGTAGGAGCAGCCAGAGGGAGCACATTTATACTGAACTCTCAAGAGGCAGAAAGATAACATCACAGGTTATTTCTGAATTTTATAATTATTTGAACTGATAAAAGGCATTACTAAGCTCCCTAGAGATATACACAATAATTAATTTTCCTGACAACACATTCCATTCTTTCATGAAAAAGCATAAAAGGTTTTTAATATTATATATTTCTTAGGGTCAAAAACTTGGTTTCCAGGCAAAAGTCCCCAATATAATCAGGAAATCAGAGGAAACAGACCAATGAAGGAAAGAAGAAGATGAAAATAGAATGTTTTAAAATGCTGTCATAATGTTGATATCTGTGCAACTGACTGCTGAAGGTTGAGCTCCTCGCCTAACTGATGCTAATTACTACTAATTTCTAACAATGAAAAGGTAGAAAAGAGAGAAGATGCTTCCCAGACACTCATTTCAAGAAGGTTCAAGGTATTTTTCAGAACTGTTTTTGTGACCAGGCTCACCTAAAGCCCAGAGAGAGCAGAAAAACAGTGTATTTTGCTGAAGGAATTTCCCAAGAATTGAAAGAATTCAAATATATGTATGGAATTAAACCCACCATTTTTGCTTGTGACTATTGGTAGCATTAACTGAAGATGAAGAGGGCCTCATATGCTTCTAACATATATCAAAATCCTAATGTATTTATTCAAAGCAAGTAAGACGAAAAGCAAGGAAAGACAAAAAGGAAGGCAGAAAAAAAATGAGTATTTTTTTTCTTTTTCTGAACAAGAGATCTAAAAGCAGCATTCTATTAACAATTTGGTCTTTAAAATGGCTCCATTTCCTTCAAATATTTCCATATACATTATCTATATGAAGAATAGCATTCTAATAACTTAAAATGGATAAGGCAAATAGATAAATATACCTCTCATTAAACATTTTAAACAATAAAATACTAAGAGGAACAAATGAACAAAAATATTAAAGAGTTTTCAAAAGAATACAAAATTCCTTCTAGAAACACATCAACTTTATATGTGGATACTTAAAACTAAGACTAGGAGCATGTGTGTACATATATTCATACTTTGCTCTCTTCCACTTAAATTTTTCTTGCATTAGTAAGACTCAGGCATTTTTAACCTTCACTCAATGGCTCATTTCCACTTCAGGACATAGGTAGCTTCTGTAATTTGATGTGAATACAGCCACACCTCATTTTTTTTATACTTCACTTTATTGCATTCATATATATATAGTGATTTTTACTAATAGAAGATTTGTGGCAACCCTACATCAGGCAAGTTTATCAGCACCATTTTTTAAAACAGCATGTGTTCATGTCTTGTCTTTGTGCCACATTTCCATGATTACTGCAATATTTCAAATATTAGTATTACCATCATTATTATATGTTATGGTGATCTGTGATCAGTGATCCTTGATGTTACCATTGTAATTGCTTTGGGTGCCAGGGACTGTCCCATATAAGACATTGAACTTCATTGATAAATATTGTGTGTGTTCTCACTGCTCCACTGACTGGCTGTTCCCCATTTCTCTCCCTCTCTTTAGGCCACATATATACCCTAAGCCACAATAATATTGACATTAGGCTAATCAATAATCCTAAAATAGCCTCCAAGTTTTTAAGTGAAAGGAAGAGTCTCATGTTTCTCACTTTAAATCAAAAGCTAGAAATGATTAAGCTTAGTAAGGAAGCAAGTGGAAAGATGAAATATGCTGGAAACTAGGCCTCTTGCACCACACAGCCAAGTTGTGAATGCAAAGGAAAAGTTATTGAAAGAAATTTAAAAAGTGCTACTCTGTTGACGAATGATAACAAAGCCAAACAGAGATACAGAGAACATTGGAGCGGTCTGGATACAGGATCAAAACAGCCACAGCATTTCCTTAAGCCAAAGTTTAATCTAGAGCAAGGCCCTAACTCTTCAGTGTTATAAAGACTGAGAGAGGTGAAGAAGCTTCAGGAGAAAAGTTGAAAGACAGCGGAGGTTGGTTCAGGAGCTTTAAAGAAAGAAGCCATCTCCATAACATAGAAGTGCAAGGTGAAGCAGCAAGTGCTGATCTAGACACTGCATCAAATTATCCATAGATCTAGTTAAGATAATTGATGAAACTGGGTACATTAAACAACCGGCTTTCAGTGTAGACAAAATAGCCTTCTATTGGAAGGAGATGCTATCTAGCACTTTCATAGCTAGAAAGGAAAAGACCATGCCTTGATTCAAAGCTTCAAAGGACAGGATGACTCTCTCATTAGGGCTAATGCAACTGGTGACTAAGTTGAAGCCAATGTTCATTTACCATTCCTACTATAAAATTCAAGGGTCCTGAAGAATTATGCTAAATCTACTCTGCCTGTGTTCCATAAATGAAACAAGAATGCCTAGATAAAAGCACATCTGTTTACAGCACGGTTTACTTCATATTTTAAGCCCACTATTTAAACCTACTACTCAGAAAAAAAAAATACTTCTTTCAAAATATTACTACTCACCGAAATGCCTTTAGTCACCCAAGAGTTCTGATAGAGCTGTACAAGGAAGTTAATGCTGTTTTCATGCCTGCTAGTATAACATTCATTCTGCAGTCCATGGATTTAAGGAGTCATTTTGACTTGCAAGCCTTTTTTTTTTTTTTTGGTTACATATTTCAGTTTATTATCAAAGAAAACAATAGTCTTTTTCCTGAGCGAGATGTTAGAATGTGTATTTAACTGAAATTCAAAAAAAGGATGAACTGGAATCATTTAAAATGTATCAGTATGTCTAATATATAAGTAAATGTAATACAATATATCCCATCTGTATAATATTTCATAATTTGCAAAAGTCTTTTGCATCCATTATCATTTTATTCTTAATAACAATCCAGGGAAATAGGTTGGGGCAGGTATAAATTATGTCCATTTTACACATCATAGCAATTTTCTGAGAACTTAAGTGGCTTACTCAGTGTCATTGTGATAATAAGCGATAAAGCTAGCACAAACACCTCTACGCAAATAAACTAGAAAATCTAGAAGAAATGGATAAATTCCTCGACACATACACCCTCCCAAGACTAAACCAGGAAGAAGTTGAATCTCTGAATAGACCAATAACAGGATCTGAAATTGTGGAAATAATCAATAGCTTACCAACCAAAAAAAGTCCAGCACCAGATGGATTCACAGCCGAATTCTACCAGAGGTACAAGGAGGAGCTGGTACCATTCCTTCTGAAACTATTCCAATCAATAGAAAAAGAGGGAATCCACCCTAACTCATTTTATGAGGCCAGCATCATCCTGATACCAAAGCCTGGCAGAGACACAACAAAAAAAGAGAATTTTAGACCAATATCCTTGATGAACATTGATGCAAAAATCCTCAATAAAATACTGGCAAACCGAATCCAGCAGCACATCAAAAAGCTTATCCACCATGATCAAGTGGGCTTCATCCCTGGGATGCAAGGCTGGTTCAACATACAAAAAATCAATAAATGTAATCCAGCATATAAACAGAACCAAAGACAAAAACCACATGATTATCTCAATAGATGCAGAAAAGGCCTTTGACAAAATTCAACAACGCTTCATGCTAAAAACTCTCAATAAACTAGGTATTGATGGGACGTATCTCAAAATAATAAGAGCGATCTATGACAAACCCACAGCCAATGTCATACTGAATGGGCAAAAACTGGAAGCATTCCCTTTGAAAACTGGCACAAGACAGGGATGCCCTCTCTCACCACTCCTATTCAACACAGTGTTGGAAGTTCTGGCCAGGACAATCAGGCAGCAGAAGGAAATAAAGGGTATTCAATTAGGAAAAGAGGAAGTCAAATTGTCCCTGTTTGCAGATGACATGATTGTATATCTAGAAAACCCCACTGTCTCAGCCCAAAATCTCCTTAAGCTGATAAGCAACTTCAGCAAAGTCTCAGGATACAAAATCAACGTGCAAAAATCACAAGCACTCTTATACACCAATAACAGACAGCCAAATCATGAGTGAACTCCCAGTCACAATTGCTTCAAAGAGAATAAAATACCTAGGAATCCAACTTACAAGGGATGTGAAGGACCTCTTCAAGGAGAACTACAAACCACTGCTCAATGAAATAAAAGAGGATACAAACAAATGGAAGAACATTCCATGCTCATGGGTAGGAAGAATCAATATCGTGAAAATGGCCATACTGTCCAAGGTAATTTATAGATTCAATGCCATCCCCATCAAGCTACCAACGACTTTCTTCACAGAATTGGAAAAAACTACTTTAAAGTTCATATGGAACCAAAAGAGAGCCTGCATCGCCAAGTCAATCCTAAGCCAAAAGAACAAAGCCAGAGGCATCACGCTACCTGACTTCAAACTATACTACAAGGCTACAATAACCAAAACAGCATGGTACTGGTACCCAAACAGAGATACAGATCAATGGAACAGAACAGAACAGAGCCCTCAGAAATAATGCCGCATATCTACAACCATCTGATCTTTGACTTGCAAGTCTTATTCTTTAAGAAATGCATTTCATCAGGGTATAGCTGCCATAGATAGTGGTTCCTCTCATGGATTTGGGCAAAGTAAATTAGAAATGATTCACCATTCTAGATGTCATTGAAAACATTTGGGATTGATGGTAGATGGTCAACATATCGATATTAACAGGAGTTTAGAAGTTTATTCCCACCCTCATGGATGACTTTGAGGGGTTTAAGACTTCAGTTGACAAAGTAACTGCAGATGTGGCAGAAATAGCAAGAGAAATAGATTTAGAAGTAGACCCTGAGAATTTAGCTGAATTGCTTCAATCTCGTGGTAAAAGTTGAATGGATGACAAGTACCTTCTTATGGATAAGCAAAGTGGTTTTTTGAGATGGAATCTACTACTGGTGAAGATGCCATGAACATTGTTGAAAAGACAACAAAGGATTTAGAACATTGCATTAACTTAGCTAATAAAGCCGTAGCAGGATTTGAGAAAATTGACTCCAACTTTGAAAGAAATTCTACTGTGGCTGAAATGCTATCAAATAGCTTCTCACACTCATACTGCAGAGAAATCTTTCATGAAAGGCAGAGTCAGTCACTGAAGTAAACTTCATTGTTGTCTTATTTTAAGAATTTGCCACAGCCATCCTAATCTTCAGCAGCCACCACCCTGATTAGTCAGCAGCCATCAACATCAAAGACCCTTTATCAGCAAAAAATTAGGACTTCCTGAAGGCTCAGATGATCGTTAGGATTTTTTGCAATAAAATATATTTAATTAAGGTATATAGATTGTTTTTAAGACAGAATCCTTTTGCACACTCAATAGACTATAGTATAAAGATAACTTTTATATGCATGAGAAAACAAAAAATTTGTTGTCACTCATTTTATTGCAATATTTGCTTTATTTTGGTATTGGACCCACAATATCTCCAACACATGCCTATAAATTAGATTACAAAAATAATTTATTTATGATCAACACTGATTAGGTATGAATATAATGGTGGCATTCTTATTCAAGTTTCTAAATAAATCTTTATGTATAGAAAATACAGGGCTATTGGCTTAAGATGTAAACTGCTAAGTTTTTGTAGAGTGTGTGGAGAAAAAAAAAAAACTCCTGCCTTTTCTCCTTCTGGCATCTGTATAAATATTTGATATGTATCCGTTTACTGTTTAAAAATTATAATTGCTGAAGATCAATACTGGAAGACATTTGTAGTTCTTGTTGGTATAGAAGAATTTGATTTTTTCATTTAATAAGTACAAGGTCAAATCCTCAAGAAAAAACTAAATAGCCTGCTCTTAGTTTTCCATTGATTTTTTCTGATATATTAATGAAATACATATTGAAATAAATTCTGTACAAATTATTCATTCACAGGCAAAGTATGCATTAATTATGTAAGTCTTCTTGGTTGTTCCTATGACAACAATTGCACTGAATAAACGTATCTATTTTATATTTCAATTATACTAATTCATATATCATATTAAAATAATTTCAATTTTATTTAATATTTATTTATTTTTCCATAAGTTATTGGGGTACAGGTGTTCTTTGATGGCATGGGTAAGTTCTTTAGTAGTGATTTGTAAGATTTTTGTGCACCCATCACCCTAGCAGTATACACTGCACCATATTTGTAGTCTTCTATCCCTCACCACCATCACACTCTTCCCCCTAAATCCCCAATGTCCACTGCATCATTCTTATGCCTTTGCATCCTCATAGCTTAGCTCCCACATGTAAGTGAGAACACAAGATGTTTGGTTTTCTATTCCTAAGTTACTTCACTTAGAATAATAGTCTCCAATCTCATCCAGGTCACTGCAAATGCTGTTAATTCATTCCTTTTTGTGGCTGAGTAGTATATGATGTGAGATATATATATGTCACAGTTTCTTTATCCACTTGTTGATTGATGAGCATTTAGGTTGGTTCCACAATTTTGTAATTGTGAATTGTGCTGCTATAAACATGCTTGTGCAAGTATCTTTTACAAATAATGACTTCTTTTCCTCTGGGTAGATACCCAGTAGTGGGATTGCTGGATCAAATGGTAATTCTACTTTTAGTTCTTTAAGGAATCTCCCCACTGTTTTCCATA
This sequence comes from Homo sapiens, assembly GCF_000001405.40. Taxonomy (NCBI): domain Eukaryota; kingdom Metazoa; phylum Chordata; class Mammalia; order Primates; family Hominidae; genus Homo; species Homo sapiens. The sequence continues at coordinate 120,152,585 of NC_000006.12, read as the reverse complement.
GTGGCTGTACTAGTTTACATTCTCACAGCAGTGTAGAAGTGTTCCCTGTTCACCACATCCACCTCAGCATCTACTGTTTATTTTTTGATCATGGCTATTCTTACAGAGTGAGGTGGTATCACACTGTGGTTCTGATTTGCATTGCCCTGAGCATTAGTGATATTGAGCCCTTTTTCATATGTTTGTTGGCCATTTGTATATCTTCTTTTGAGAACTGTCTATTCATGTCCTTAGCCCACTTTTTGATAGGATCGTTCGATTTTTTTCTTACTGATTTGTCTGAGTTTGTTGTAGATTCTGGATATTAGTCCTTTGTCAGATATATAGATTTTGAAGATTTTCTCTCACTCTGTGGTTGTCTGTTTACTCTGCTGACTGTTCCTTTTGCCGTGCAAAAGCTCTTTAGTTTAATTAGGTCCCAGCTATTTATCTTTGTTTTTATTGCATTTGCTTTTGGGTTCTTGGTCATGAAATCCTTGCCTAAGCTAATGTCTAGAAAGGTATTTCCAAAGTTATCTTCTAGAATTTTTAATAGCTTCAGGTATTAGTTTAAATTTGTAATCCATCTTGAGTTTATTTTTGTATAAGGTGAGACATGAGGATGCAGTTTCATTCTCCTACATGTGGCTAGCCGATTGTCCCAGCACCATTTGTTGAAAAGGGTGTCCTTTCCCCACTTTATGTTTTCGTTTGCTTTGTCGAAGATCAGTTGGCTGTAATTATTTGGGTTAATTTCTGGGTTCTCTATTCTGTTCGATTGGTCTATGTACCTATTTTTGTACTAGTACCTGCCTGTTTTGGTGACTTTGGCCTCATAGTATAGTTTGAAATCAGGTAGTGTGATGCCTCCAGATTTGTTCTTTTTACTTAGTCTTTCTTTGACAATGCAGGCTCTTTTTTGGTTCCATATGAATTTTAGAACTGTTTTTTCTAGTTCTGTGAAGAATGATGGTGGTATTTTGATGGTGATTGCATTGAATTTGTAGATTGCTTTGGCAGTATGGTCATTTTCACAATATTGATTCTATCCATCCATGAGCATGAGATGTGTTTCTATTTGTTTGTGTCATCTACGAGTTATTTCACGAGGGTTTTTAGTCTTCCTTGTAGAGGTCTTTTGCCTCCTTGGTTAGGTATATTCTTAAGTTTTTTGGGTTTTTTTTTCTTCAGCTATTGTAAACGGGGTTGAGTTCTTGATTCAATTCTCCGCTTGGTTGCTGTTGGTGTATAGAAGACCTACTGATCTGTGTACATTAATCTTGTATCCGAAAATTTTGCCGAACTCTTTTTATCAGTTCTAGGAGCTTTCTGGAGGAGTCTTTAGGGTTTTTAAAGTAAACAATCATATCATCAACAAACAGAGACAGTTTGACTTCCTCTTTACCGATTTGGATTCCTTTCCTCTCCTTTTCTTTCTCCTTTCCTTTTCTTTCTTCTCTTGTCTGATTATTCTGGCTAGGACTTCCACTGCTATGTTGAAGAGGAGTGGTGAGAGTGGGTTTGTCACAGACAGCTTTATTACATTAAGGTATGTCCCTTGTATGCCAATTTGCTGAGAGTTTTCATCATAAAGTGATGCTGGATTTTGTCAGATGCTTTTTCTGCATCTATTGAGACAATCATGTGATTTTTGATTGTTCATTTGTTATATCACATTTATTGACTTGCGTATGTTAAACCATCCCCTGCATCCCTGGTATGAAACCCACTGGATCATGGTGTATTATCTTTTTGTCATGTTGTTGGATTCAGTTAGCAAATATTTTGTTAAGGATTTTAGCATCTATGTTCATCAAGGATATCAGTCTGTAGTTTTATTTTTTGGTTATGTCCTTTCCTGGTTTTGGTATGAGGGTGATGCTGGCTTCATCAGATGAAGTAGGGAGGGTTCCTTCTTTCTCTATATTGTGGGTTAGTGTCAAAAGGATTGGTACTAATTCTTTGAATGTCTGGTGGAATTCTGCTGTGAATCCGTCTGGTCCTGGACATTTACCATTTCAGTCTCGCTGCTTGTTATTGGTCTGTTCGGGGTATCTAATTCTTCCTAATTTAAGCTAGGAGGGTTGTATTTTTCCAGGAATTTATCCATCTCTTTTAGGTTTTCTAGTTTATGTGCATAAAGGTGGTCATAGAAGCCCCGAATGACCTTTTGTATTTTGGTGGTGTCAGTTGGAATATCTCTTGTTTCATTTCTTAGTGAGAATATTTGGATTTTCTCTCTTCTTTTCTTGGTTAATCTTGCCAATAGTCTATCAGTTTTATTTTCCTTTTCAAAGAACCAGCTTTTTGTTTCATTTATGTTTTGTATAGTTTTTGTTTCAATTTCATTTAATTCTGTTCTGATCTTGGTTATTTTCTTTCTTCTGCTGGGTTTCAATTTTATTTAGTTCTGATCTGATCTTGGTTATTTCCTTTCTTCTGCTGGGTTTGGGTTTCCTTTGTTCTTGTTTCTCTTGTTACTGGAGGTGTGACCTTAGATTGTCTGTTTGTGCTCTTTCAGCCTTTTTGATGTAGGTGTTTAGGGCTATGAACCTTCCTCTTAGCACTGCCTTTGCTGTATCCCAGAGGTTTTAATAGGTTGTGTCATTATTGTCATTCAGTCTGAAGAATTTTTTAATTTCCATCTTGATTTCATTTTTGACCCAATGCTTATTGAGGAGTATGTTATTTAATTTCCATGTATTTGCATGGTTTTCAAGGTTCCCTTTAATTTTGGTTTTATTCCACTGTGGTTTGAGAGAGTGCTTGATATAATTTCAATTTTCTTAAATTTATTGAGGCTCATTTTATAGCTTATCATATGGTCTAGCTTGGAGAAAGTTCCATGTGCTGTTTAATAGAATGTATATTCTGCAGTTGTTGGATGAAATGTTCCATATAGAACTGTTAAGTCCATTTTTTCCAAAGTATAGTTTAAATCCATTGTTCTTTGTTGACTTTCTGTTTTGATGACCTGTCTAGTGCTGTCAGTGGAGTATCAAAGTCCCCCACTATTATTGTATTGCCGTCTATCTCATTTCTTAGGTCTATTAGTAATCGTTTCACTTAGGAGCTCCACTGTGAGGTGCATATATGTTTAGAACTCTGATATTTTCCTGTTGGACAAGGCCTTTTATCATTATAACGTCCCTCTTTGTCTCTTTTAACTGCTGTTGCTTTAAAGTTTGTTTTGTCTGACATAAGAATAGGTACCCCTAATCATTTTAGTGTACATATGCATGAAATGCTTTTTTCCTCCCCTTTATTTTAAGTTTATGTGAGTCCTTATGTGCTAGGCAAGTCTCCTGAAGGCAGCAGATAATTGGTTGGTGAAGTCTTATCCATTCTGTGGATCTGTATCTTTTAAATGGAGCATTTAGGCCATTTACATTCAATGTTCATAGTGAAATGTGAGGTACCATTCCATTCATGGTGCTCTTTGTTGCCTGTGTACTTTATTTTTGTTTTGTTTTGTTTTTTGTCTGGGCTTTTGTTTTTTGTTTGTATTTTTGTTTTATATGTCCTATGTGATTTATGCTTTAAAGAGGTTCTGTTTTGATGTGTTTACAGGATCTATTTCTAGATTTAAAGCTCCTCTTAGCAGTTCTTCTAGTGGTGGCTTGGTAATGGCTAATTCTCTCAGCATTTGTTTGTCTGTAAAAGACTATATCTTTCCTTCATATATAATGCTTAGTTTTGCTGAATACAAAATTCTTGGTTGATAAGTGTTTTGTTTGAGGAGGCTAAAGATAGGGCCCCAATCTCTTCTAGCTTGTAAGGTTTCTGTTGAGAAATCTGCTGTTAATCTGATAGGTTTTCCTTTATAGGTTACCTGGTGCTTCTGTCTCACAGCTTTTAAGATTCTTTCCTTCATTTTAACTTCGGATAACCTGATGACAACGTGCCTAGGCAAAGATCTTCTTGTGATGAATTTCCAGGGTGTTCTTTGTGCTTCTTGTATTTGGATGTCTAGGTCTATAGCAAGACTGGGGAGGTTTTCCTCGGTTATTCTTCCAAATATGTTTTCCAAGCTTTAGAATCCTCTTCTGTCTGAGGAATACTGATATTCTTAGGTTGGATTGTTTAACATAATCCCAGACTTCCTGGAGGCTTTGTTCATATTTTCTTATTATTTTTACCTTGTCTTTGTTGAATTGGGTTAATTTGAAGACCTTGTCTTTGAGCGCTGCATTTTTTCTTCTACTTGTTAAATTCTATTGCTGAGACTTTCTAGAGCATTTTGCATTGCTAAAAGTGTGGCCAAAGTTTCCTGAATTTTTGATTGTTTTTCTTTAAGCTATCTATTTCCTTGACTATTTCTCCCTTCACTTCTTGTATAATTTTTTGGATTTCCTTGCATTGGAAAGGTCTCTACCTAATTAGCTTAATAACTGTCCTCCTGAATTATTTCTTTGGTCCCTCCCTGATTAGCTTAATAACTAACCTCCTGAATTCTTTTTCAGGTAAATCAGGAATTTCTTCTTGGTTTGGATTCATTGCTGGTGAACTAGTGTGATATTTTGGGGGGTGTTGAAGAGCCTTGTTTTGTCATATTACCAGGGTTGGTTTTCTGGTTCCTTCTCATTTGGGTAGGCTCTGACAGAGGGAAGGTCTAGGTCTGAAGGCTGTTATTCAGATTCTTTTGTCTCACAGGGTGTTCTCTTTATGTAGTACTCTCTCTCTTTCCCTATGGATATGGCTTCTTGTGAGCTGAACTGCAGTGCTTGTTGTCTCTCTTTTGGGTCTAGCCACCCAGTGAATCTACCTGGCTCTGGTGAACCATCTATAGGTCTCTCAGTCATGGATACCATGACTGAGTGGAGGTGGTGGAGGGTGGAGGTGGTGGGGGGTGCAATGGACTCTGAGGGTTCTTAACTTTGGTGGTTTAATGTTCTACTTTTGTGCTATTTGACCTCCTGCCAGGAGGTGGCGCTTTCCAGAAAGCATCAGCTGTGGTATTATGGTGAGGAGCCGGTGGTGGGCAGGGCCCTAGAACTCCCAAGATTATATGTCCTTTGTCTTCTACTACCAGGGTGGGTAGGGAAGGACCATCAGGTGGGAGTGGGGCTAGGAGTGTCTGAGCTCAGACTCCCCTTGGGCAGGTCTTGCTGCAGCTGCTGTGGGGCATGGGGTTGAAATTCCCACGTCACTGGAGGTGTGTACCTAGGAGGACTAATGCTGCCTCTGCTGAGTCATGCAGGTTGTCAGGGAAGTGGGGGAAAGCCAGCAGTCACTGGCCTCACCCAGCATCCATGCAAACCAAAGGGCTGGTCTGTCTCCCTCAGTGTCCCTGACAACAGCCCCAGACCGTTTCCAAGCAATAAGGGCTTGAAACCTGCCCTAGGCTATCCACCTCCCAGCTGTGAAAGGAAAGGGTTGGATTTGCACCCTGCCCTGAGTTCTAGCCCAGAGGCTTCTCACTTGGTTCAAATTGTTACAAAGTTCAGCTAGAGATTTGCATCTTCCTGTGTAGTTTTACCCCCTGCTCCTCTCTGGTTGGATCCCTGTGGTGCCAGGCAGGAATGGGCTGCTTGGGGACCCAGCGAGCTCCCAGAGCCTTTCTGCTGTTTCTCCTACCTGTGTATTTCACTTGGCTCTCTAAATTGACTCAGCTCCTGGTAAAGTCGGAAACTTCTCCCTCAAACAGACCTTCAGCGTCTCCACTGGGGGTGTGTGTTTGGGAGGGGAGGGTCTCCCTTTTCCACTTCCGCAGTTGGGATACTCACAGTTTCAGTGGGGGAGGTCTACTGGGTCCTGCAGGAGCAGGAGCAGGAGGGTCTGTGGGTCCTCTCGGGATTGCTGGTCTCAATTTTAGTGAGATAATTATTCACTGGTTGTACCAGTGCATATTTAGTACCAGTGTACTTATGAGGGAAAAATGAATAATTCAGCAAAAAGCACTTGCCTCTCATTTTCTGTACTAATTACTGAAGCTGCATTTGATTTTCAAAATGTAGTGAGCTTTTTCAATTTTCCAAGCATACATTCTATTCTTTCAAATACAGGATAACATTTCTCCAACTGCAGATGCTCCTTGACTTATCATTATGTCCTCATCAACTCACTGTAAATGGAAAATATCATAAGTCAAAAATGAATTTAATATACCTAACCTACTGAACTTTATAGCTTAGCCTAGTCTAGCTTAAATGTGCTCAGAGCACTTACATTAGCCTATATTTGGGCAAAATAATCTAACACAAAGCCTATTTTATAGTAAACTGTTTAATTTGATGTATATGTACAAATAAGTTTTGAGTCCCATGTAATTTATTAAGTATTCCACTGACAGTAAAAACCAAAGTGGTTGTATGGGTACTCAAAGTATGGTTTTTACTGAATGTGTATTGCTTTTACGCCATGGTAAAGTTAAAAAAAAAATCCTAAATCGACGTATTGTAAGTTGGAGACCATCTGAACAATATATCCTTGGTACTTGGGTTATTGATTTTTTTTCTTAATTCATCATACCATCTTTAAAAAGTTCATCTTGATTAAATCTACTTTTCATTGCTCCCTAAAGATGTCAGAGCCTAAATATGGCCAGAGAAATATTTCTATGCCAGCCTTAATTAACACAGTATCAATATTATCACTTAGTATTATAAAGTTTGATATGGATGAATATTATAAATATTTCTGAATATCATAACCAATCTCAAAAACTATGCCTATCACTGTATTCACAGAAATAACCATATGTAACATTATTTTTATGTTCATTCTCTATCAGAAAGAGGACCGAGGTGCACAAACCTATAATTTTCCTATTTCTCAAGGCTTGCCTTACATGTTAGAGCTAACTAAATGTAGTCTGTTGACCATCTGAACAAATCATTTTAAAAGATTCACATTCTTCCTATCATGACTATACCCTATAATTCTCCAAACATAAGTATTTGAAAGTATTAATGAAATCAATTACCAACATAATTTCCACCTGTAAAATATCTCAACTGAGCTTTCAAGAGATTTTATCAAATAAGGACTTAAATAAAATAAGTAAAATATATTCTTGATTTGTCACAAACAATATTGAATCTTAAAAGTTCAAATATATAGTGTTTAAACTTTTGGAAACTGTTATCTTGACTACTAAAGAAAAAAGATTTAATGTGTTGTGAATTTAATTTTAATTAATCAATTAAGTTAAAAATAACATAGACTTAAATGTAAGGAAGTTAGGTTCTATCCATAACTGTATGTGTGACCTTTGGGAAATTACTTAATACATTTTGTGTCTATTTTCTTTATTCACAGTATGAGAGGTTTGGACCTGTTGGTCCCTAGTATGCCTTCTAGGTTTAAAATATTTTGTCTTTATAAAACTTTAGCTAAATTAAAAATCCAACAGTATGCAGTATTCTTAGTATTGAGGCAATATATGTGGCAAAAGTATTAACTCAGGTATGATTCTGAATAGATTTTATGTTGAACATTGATACCTAACATAAAGATTTACAGATTTAATTTTATAGTGTAGGTACTCCCTGGTGGTTTATTTACTTTTTTGCATAGGGGGAGTAGAGGAAAAAATCTGGAGGGAGCATCTTGCAATCTGAAATTTTTCCTCCTAATAACATATTTAAATCTGGTAATCATTACATAAAGGGTGCTATATAGACTTTGTATAAATTTCTAATTTAACTTTATTTAGCCTGCTGTATTTAACTGTGATTTGACTGTTTTAACCAAAACCTTTTACTTAAATAGGCACTAATGATCCTAACCAATAAAGTTAATATTTTTATAGTTAGGAAAAAAATGCATACAAATGTAGAGGGAAAATGTTATTTTAAAAATTCTCCTAACAATTCTCTCTTTTCTGCATTATTTGGATTCTGAACTTTATTGCCAGTTGGCATTAATTGGTGATAATTGGTTGTATGTGTTTGGTAATAGCCATGTGATTGTGGAACTGAGTGAGATTACATGAAGAGTAGTATTAATTTCAATTTTCAAATTTATGTGTATTAAAAAATAAGCCTGAGAAGAAACAGGCAGTTTGTCAAAGTAGTAATTCCTGAGGGATACAAAAGTTTTATGTTAATTTGAAATCTCAATGAGAAGTAATCTTTACATGCAGATATAATGAAGGCAGATTAACCCACACATTCAAGATTTCTCAAAGTATTTGAGTACATTTATTTACATTCTAGTCTATCTGAATAGCTAAGTATATGAGGGATTGTAGCCTGTATAGTTGGAAATCAGTGGTAACAATGCTTCTTCTAAGATAACCTACACCTGTTATAAAAGGTAAATTAAATTGCTATTTAGCATCTACAAGCCATATAAACTTTAATAAAATCTGTTACATTTTTGAGGCTATTGCCTTATCCATTTAAAGAAGATCCTAATAAGCTTTAGAAATTTCCAAAGTATTCCATTGTTAGTACTTTTTATCAGAGAAGATGAAATGAGCCTAAATATTAAAAAATAAATAAAAACAAATAAATAAGATATGCTAGTAGGTGGAAGATAATTTGAATCAGTAAGACTTCATTTGAAATGGAATAATATGAGAGAAGGAAAAATAACCTAGACCACAAAGATATATGATAATTTTGACCTGTGGAGAAGCCATCAGTGAAAACTAAGTGAAGCAATGAAGATATAACAGATGAAAATTCTCCAAAGAAGCAGAAAAAAAGTAATACATATATAAAGTGATGAAGACAGAGAAGCATATTGAATACATAAAAAGAAATATTTCAAAGTTTTTACCTCTAAAGACCACAAGGTAGACCTCAAAAGTTGGAGACAAGTACAACATGGAGGATCTTCCAGTTCTGTATGTTTAAGGGGAGCTGTTAGTGGCTTCTCGGGTAAAATAGTTGTTAGACTCCTTGGTAATCTGCTTCTACTACCTTTATCAGAAGTGATCATAAAATCTTGCAAATACTAGAACAAAATTGAGTCATAGAAAACTGAAACCAAATACTAGAGAGAAGAATGTAATAAAAGAATCCATACATCTTAGTCAAGAAAAATGATTTGCTTAGAGTCTAAGAAAATGGACAAATTCAATAACTGTGGCATGTTACTGTACTCTGAGAAATCATGAAGGAGATACAAAGAATGGATATGGGAAAATGACCTTCCTGGTTTTGAAACACGGAAGCTCCATTTCATAATCCACAGGCCAGTGAGTGTGACAGAGAATTGATATTAAGACAAAAGCATTTTTGTGGGTGCCTACAATAGGAAGAAGTGAGCAGTAGACCTTATATGTTATCACTAAACTCAATAATATAAAGCATTGTATTAATGCTTTATATCATTGTGTATGATTGATGCTTTAATTCACTGTGTAGGATTTGTCAGATATATAATCCTTTAGAGGTTTATAAAGTTGAAGCTCTAAAGGAATATATATCTGACAAATTCTACAGTTAGTAAGTGGTAATGCCTGATCTACAATCTAGTTCTCCTGACTGCAACTCCCATGCTCTTTCTACAACATACATCCTGATATTAGAATGTTACGTTTGTTACTCTGGAGACATAAAAAAACTTGTAACTTTTCTTTTTAAAATACATTGTAGACTGTCAGTTTCCTATTGCTGTGTAACAAACCAGTAGAAAAATGAATGCTTTCAAACAATGACCATTCATTTAGGTAATAATTATTGGAGTCTGCAATTTAGGCTAGGCTCATCAGATTAATTGTTCCAATCTCAGCTGGCCTCTCTCTTGAATCTGTAGTCAGGAGGGAACTGTGCTTCTTGGTGTTTGCTTGTTTGGAGCTGGGAAAACAGTGGTGGACTGGGCACCTGGGCCATGTATCCCTTGTTATCTAGCTGGCTAGACTAGGCTCAAAAGTGTTTTGAGAGAGAAGAGGAAACATGAATGACCTTGTCTGAATCTGTCCCTGCCTCTGTAACAAAATACCACAGACTGGATAATTTATAAATAATAGAAATTTATTTCTCAGTGTTCTGGAGGCTGGAATGTTCAAGATCAAAGAGGCAGCAGCTTTGGTGGCTGGTTAGGGTCTGGTTGTTGCTACTGAAATGGCACTTTGAACCCTGTGTCCTCACCTGGTGGAAGGACAAAAAGGACAAGAGAGGATAGCTAGTTCCCTCCTCCTCTTTTATAGTAGCATTAATCCCATTCAAATGAGCATACAGCCCTATGGCCTAATGACATCCCAAAGCCCCACCTTCTAACACCATCACCTTTGTGTTTAACTTTCAACATATGAATTTTGGAGAGACATACATTCAAATCATAGCAGACTCTCAAGGTTAGGCTCAGAACCACAGCATCACTTCCACTGAATCACCTAAGCCAAAACAAGTCTCAAGTTCAGTCTGTGTTATTTACCCCCTCTTCAAGCAGTCAATGAAGAAGGAATTCCTGTCGTAGGTTATTGCTAAACACACAACATCTGAGTCTTGATAGATGACCTTGATGGCAGTTTAGTGATCATATATACTTACAGCCTAGGGGAAGAGGAAACCACGTTACACATAGGGACACATGGGAGCTGCTCTCTGGGTCAGAGGGAACCAGACGAGTCTGTGGACAGCAACATTCATAGGAGTGCTGCAGGGGTCCATCCCACAGACCCTGACCCAATGACAGACAAATAACGTACATTGACACAGATATTCTGCTTGTCAGTCCGGCTTAGGGTCCGGGCCCCTCACGGACACCAAGGAAGGTGTTGTAAAGAGTAGCAGCCATGGCCCAGATCAGCCAGCAAAGCTCGCATTTATTCAGTATAGATTTAATTGACAAAGGCTTGAGTCAACACACCTGTGGGTAATTAATCTGGTCACCCCGACCTGGGACAGGGCCATCTTGCCCTTGAATGAAGGTTGATTTTAGGACCACATGAGTAAACAAGCTATTTAGGTAAACTACTCTACATTCCTTTCTATCTGTGCCCTAAGCTCTCTGGCTCCTGAAAAGAAAATCTGGCTGCCTTCAGCCAAACTATCTGAAGTTATGCAAAACTCCCCAGCCTTCCAAGAAGGTTTCCTTCTTTCTATTCCTGTAATTTTACAATTTCTCCCACCATCCTGACTGAACCCCCCCAAAGTACCTTCTGGTTCCCATGGGAGAATGTAACTGGCTTGTTTGAGTAATTTTGTAAGTTAGAAGGAAGGTGAAGCCCATTAGGTTGAGAACCAGGTAGAGTGAACCTGGTCTGGCTGATAAAGGAACTGTTTAGATGAGAGGCTTGCCTATTTGGTGGAAGGTATATCTGGCAAAGATTGGGGAACTCGTGGTAGGGTGCTGGGTCCATGTGAGACTCAAAGATATCAAGAAACCACTTAATTAATTGCATGTTACTTTCAGGCCTTACACCACACAGCCCAGATTGAATGGGTAAAGAAATAAACTCCTCTTGTGTAGTGGCTGCGTATTCCACTGATTTATCTAAACTGAAACCGTGTATCCTAGAATTCTCTTTCCTGCATGGATCTGGGCAAAATTGGCTACTAGAGAAATTTGCATGGAACCTAGAAGGTGAAAGTGAAGCAGCAGCCATGTTAATATTAGGAATGTGGGTGTAAGACAGGCACTTTTGCAGCATTGTAGCAAATGCAAATTGTTACAGATCTCCTGGCTTACCTGTCGAACTACCTGTGAAGCCATAGCCAGGCTTACATCTCCTCCAGGTTCTATGAATCTCTGTCAAAAACTGTGAAAGATCTCAGATTTTACTCACCTTGCAATCTAACATATTATCCTGCTACAATTTCATGGAAGCTGGCAGAAGATACAAAACTCTTGGATCAGAATCAAAGGACTTTATTATTTAGGACACAACAATCAGCATAAACTTCATGTTTGTACTGGTTCTCCTTATTTTCCAAAACCCACACGGTCAGCCTGGAGTGGTCCAGGTTTATACTGTACACTGAAATTGAGAAACACGGTGCTTAAAAAGGCCTAATATGTTAAAGGAGCCACAAGCAAACCTTCCCAACCTATGCACAGAGGAAAACAGTATTTTTATTATATTAATCAGCAAACAAATATGATCTTTGCCCTGAAAGGAGAAACTATATTTTCCAAGGCAGTTCGTTATACACACATTCTTGAGAAAAGAGTCTGGAACTAAAGTCATCTACCTCATCTCACAAAATGTACAGAAATTTGAGAGACACAACAGTCCTTTTCTTCCCAACAATCTCCTCCTTCAGCTTATCCCACTCCTAGAGAAGGTATTTAGCTTCCTAATGGAGGGTGCCAACTTCTCCTATAGGTTACCTATTTCATCACATTTGATGCTTGGAGGTAATGAGAGGCAATGTTGCTTCCAGTTTGCACTTGTGGGTTCCAAGGTAGCCCTCATAGTTTCCAAGTTTGTCCTCCTTCTCCCACAATACAAGCCCATCTTCCTAACTGCCTGGTAGTAGGCACAAAAGCAACTGGTATACATACTGCTATGGGTTGAATGTGTCCCCTAAATTTCACCTGTTAAAAACTTAATCCCCAAATTCATATGTTGATGGCATTTAAGGGTGGGGAATTTGAGAGGTAATTAGTATTTGATAAGCTCATCAGGTGCGTCCCCCATGATAGGACTACTGGCTTTTTAAGAAGAGGAAGAGAGACTTGAGCTGGCACACTCTTGCCCTGTCATCATGTGATGCCCTCTGCCATGTTATGATGTGGCACAAAAGCCCTCACAAAATATGGCCCTCAACCTTGGACTTGGCAGCCTCTAGAACTATAAGAAATAAATTCATTTTCTTTATAAATTACCCAGTTTGTGATATGTGTTATAGCAACGGAAGACAAACTAAGACACATAACATTATTTAACCAGCTCCCACAGTGGCCTTTGGTCCAATTTTATTTAATAAATCCCCTATTCCATAGCAATCCTACTATTTTCACTTCTCCCATCAATTCCTGATTGATATTAGTAGGAGGAGTTACAAAGTTACATTGCAAAGGTGTTGCTGCAGGTAGAGTTTGTGATGTGCGCCACAGGGTATGAAGAAAGGATTAACATTTTCTTTGTAGCTCCAGGTACTAGCATTAAGTCAACAGATTTATAGGGTGCCTAATTTTAACACAAATAATATGAAGTTTTTCTAAAAGCCATAGCCATTCAAAGATGAAACTTGCTCCCAGAAACTAGTGAGTACCCTTCTACTTCAAAGTCAACAGGTTTAATTTTAATTAGTATTTACCAAGGATACTAAAGAAAAGAATTAAGCATTTGTTATGTCATATACATCTATCAAAATATCAAGTACAGCCCAGGAGCAGTGGTTTACACCTACAATTCCAGCTGAATTTTGGGACGCTGAGATGGGAGGATCACTTGAGCTCAGGAATTCAAGACCAGAATGGGCAACATATCTCTAAATATCAAAAAATTTTTAAAAAGTATCTGGGTGTGGTGGTGGGCCCACAACTGTAGTCCCAGCTACTTGGGAGGCTGAGGTGGTAGAACTGTTTGAGCCTGGGAGGTTGGGGCTGCCGTGAGCCATGATTGTGCCACAGTACCCCAGCATGGGCAACAGAGCAAGACTCTGTCTCAAGGAAGAAAAAAATAATAAAAATTCAAGCATCAAGAAGAATTACACAAATGCCAGTGTCTGGGAAAGACTAGATAAGAATCAATTTGAGTCCAAGAAATAAGAGATAGTGATAATTGATGTCAGGTTTAACCCTAGGCTCTAGGATAGACTATAAAAAGCTGAGGTATTAGAGCTTTTGGCATAAAAATGATGTTAAGAAAAAAATAATTAGCCACGCAATAGGATAAAAAAATGACAGAATTCTGATAAAAGAAAATAAAGCCATGCCCATAGGCAAGATGTTGTTAAATGAAAAAATTTTAAAAACACAATTAACATCTATTTATAAACCTACCATAAGAATATACAGTTATGCATTGCATAATGACATTTCAGTCAATGATGCACTACTTATACAGTGATGTTGTCATAAGATTATAATAGAAATATATTTTTACTGCACCCTTTGTATGTTTATATATGTTAAGGTACACAAGTATCACTCTGTTACAAATGCCTACAGTATTCAGTATAGTAACATGCTGTACAGGTTTGTAGCTTAGAAGCAATAGGCTATATCATTGAGCCTAAGTATGTAGGAGACTATATCATCTAGGTTTGTGAAAGTACACTCTATGACGTACACAAAAGGACAAGATCTACTAACAGTGCATTTCTCAAACTATATTCCTGTTAGGTGATTCATGACCATATTATATTTCCCTTCAGATATTCTTCTATAAAAATATTGTACTATATAGAACATAGTTTGGTATTCAGACAATTGTCACCGTAAGATAGGGATCACTGTACAGCTTCTTCCCCAACTGATGCCAATTTTATCATGTGTCAACATGTTAACAGTATATCATTAGTTCTATTCAGTGATATAATAATGAATGTTTTAAAAGTAGCTGTTTTTCATGGTGTAGATTACTACCACCATGAGTTATTTCAGGCTAAATCAGTCTTCTACTGATTTTTATGAAATTACTTTGTGGTTACTTTGCTAGAGTCCTTTGTTTCTGTGTTACTGGACTCATTGGTTCCGAAGTGGGGTTGGTCAATGCTTTGAGAATTTCTTGGTAGAGAGGATGGCACGGTGGTTAAGAATCTCAGATCTACAACCACACAGATTAGGTCTGAATCCTGACATAGCAATGTACTCTGTGTGTACTCTTAGACACATTGTTCAGTGTCTTGTTTCATTAATTTCCTCATTTGTAAATTTGGACCTATATAAAATGATTGTTGAGAGAGATTAAACTGGTTATTAAGACAGGACAGTACCTGATACAGAGTAAAAATTTTAGCAATTTTAAATATTTTTCCCTACTTTGTATCTTATTTTTTTCATTATCTTGTTACATGGGTAATTCTTAGGTTGTAATAAATTCAGTATAAATAATATAGTCAGCATTTCTTCTTGGATCAACAATTTCTCTTATTCCAGAGAGCGTTTACTGTTTTTTGTTTTTTTTTTTTTTTACTTTTCTCGTATCTTTTTGTTACACTTCTGTGTTTTGGGTGCTGGTAAAAGAAAAAGAAGTCAGGTAAGATTCTACATTCATTGTATTTTATAGGTAATAGTATATGAGCATATAGATTTTAAATATATTATAATTATCCCTATGTCTCTTTCCCCCACTTCCTCATATACAATGTTATTTCACTTTCTATTGCTATTGACTACATTTACCAGAGGTTACCTCAGTGCATCAGAAGCCAGTGTTTGAGTTCATCACGAATCTATTAATAATTTAAATTATACAATTCATTAATAAGTGTCTGCTATTCCAGGTTTTTCTTTTTCCCTCAATTTGGTTATAGTTATAATTTGAGTTATAAACAAATAAAGTTCAGCTATTGTCTTTCTCCTTTTATTAAAATTTATGGTTTTAATTTTCATATAGTTTTAATGGGATCCCATTTGTTTTGATGTGTGATGTGTATATCGCCATGATTTTCTTAAGCCTCTAATTGCACATTTGATCTTTTCATGATTTATTAGTCATTAAGGAGAATGGTTTTTATTTCTTCAGGCTTATTGTTATTGTTCTATAAACTTTTATAATTAATTTTTATTTATAATATTCAAGAATGAAATCTATGATAATTTTTGACTTTTAATCTTTCTAAATTAAAATGCTTAGAGTTTATTTTTGAACAGAAAATATTTGATATGGCTTAAAATACAAAAAAATTCAAAATGTGATAAAGTGAAATCTTTCTCTCCTACCTCTAATTCTCAATTACCAGACCCTCTCCTCAGGTAACATTATCAATGTCTTGTATATCATCCCAGAAATCATTTTGTATACATATATACATACATATATTTGGTATACATATGTATACATGTGTATATATTTTTATTTTCATGTATGAAAAGTACCATTGTTTTGCATATATTTCCACTTAAAATATATCTTAGAGAACATTCAATATTGATAAAGAATTTCTACTTAGTTTTTGTGTTCCTGGCTGAATTGGCAACCTATGGATGTATCACAATGTAGCCAGTTGTCTTCAAACATGAACATGACATCCTTTATAATCTTTTGCAATTGCTAACAGTGTTGTACTCATTAACCACATACCTCATTGCTTATAAGTGTGACTGAATCCACAGGATAAATTCCTGGAAATTGGAGTTGCTGGCCAAAGGATATCTATCATGTATAATGTTGATGGGTATTCTCAATTGCCCTCCATACATGTTATACCAATTTACACATCCATAAGATATTTTTCAATAAAAATGATTAGACATTTATCTTTAACCATCTGATAGGTGATAAACTGTATATCAGCAAAAGTTTATCTTTCCTGTCTTTCTCATATTATAAAAGAGGTTGAACATATTTTCATATGCTTTAGGGCCCTTTTATATCCTTTTAGTGAACTGTCTGTCTTTTCCCAATTTCTTAGTACTGTGTTTAGTCTTTTTCATGTTGGTTTATGGGTATTATTTATCTGTAGATAATCTTTGTATACTTGTTTCATGAGTTGGACATTTATAATGTCTAAAGAAATTTCTAAGATATTTTGTTTTAATGTTATTTTTAAGTATCATTTCCATTTAAATTTAATAACTTTTAAGAACTGAGGAATAGATCCAACTTTACTTTTGCAATATGACTGTAATGTTACAATAGAATTTCCTCAATAATTCAGATTTTTTTTTACTAATTAGTATGCCACACATATAATATTTCAAGTTTTACTTTGTAGCTTTATTCAATTGTTTGCATGCCATTGCTTGTTCATCTTATTCATTAACGAGTACCAGGACATGCATTGTAAGTTGTTTTCATATCTAATAGAATAAGTTCCTTCTTGTTGCTTTCTTTTTCAAAATTCTCCTGGACACATTTGCTAGTTTATTACCTACATGAGTATTAACTTCACCAAAGAATATCCTGTAGGTACTTTTTATTGAGATTGCCCTAAATTAATAGATTATTTTAAAAAGAAGTGACATCTTTATACTTCAAGTCTTCCCAAAGGAAAGCATACTATTATATTTCATCAAGACATTTTTATGTCCCTTACAAATACTTTAAAGTTACCTTTGTATAAGTATTTCGCCATTGTTAGTGTTAGCCCTAGGTATTTTATTTGTTGTTGCTACTTTAAATGGGTTTCCTCTTTCATTATATATTTTCAGTGGCTTTTGTATGTATGAAATTGATGGATTACTTATTACTTTTTATCTAGACATCTTCATGATACTGTTTAGTGTTCGGGCAGTTTTTCCACTAGATCTGATGTTGTGTTCCAGGTCATATCGTCTGAATAAAGTGGTAATTTTCAACCTTAGTTCTAATTTTTATAACTCTAATTTATTTTCTTATTTTTCCTGATGGCTAAGAGTTTCAAATCAATGTTTTTTGATATTGGCAATAATAGACATAGCTATCTTTATTTATTTTAATTGAGTGTTACTGTAAGTTTTCTCTTTTGCATGATGTCACTCTGGGATTGAGATAAAGTTAGTTTGGTATGATAAGGAATTGTGTAAATACCTTTATTATATAGTTTTATTTACTGTAAAAAAAAAGGTGAAGTTTAACAAAGCATTATTGTCACTTATACTAATGATCTGTCTTTTATTTTTTTGATATGTTGAATTATACCATAGATTCATAAATAGTAAACCATCTTTAAGTCCCATGATTAATCTCACTTGTTCATGGTATGTGAAATATTCTGTTTAATAATAACCTAAGATTTTGCATTGATATTTTAAGTAATTTTGATGTTAAATTTCCTTTCTTTTTTTTTTTTTTTGTGCGTAGGCCTCCTCATTTTACATATAGTACCCACTTTGGCATTATCTCTTAACTTACATTTGTTTTTTGTAAAGGCATATTACTAATGTAAAGTACTGTTAAAAAGAAAAAAAAGTGGTCAATAAGCCCACTATTCACGTACACCTCGTTTTATTTTTAAATAAAAGTTTATTATTCATGGTTTAGAAATTAAAATGGTAGAAAATGTAGTAAAATATAAAGTAAAAATGTTTTATCTATTCCATTCATCCTTAATAGTTAACATCATATTTCCATTATTCCTTGCAAAAAGTGTGCATACCCTAGTACGGGTCCCCAACCCACGTGGCCTGTTAGGAACAGGGCCACCCAGCAGGAGGTGAGTGGCATGCTAGTGAGCAAAGCTTCATCTGTATTTACAGCTGCTCCCCATGGCTTACAATACTGCCCAACTCTTGTCAGATCTGCAGCAGCATTAGATGCTCATAGGAGCATGAACCCTATGGTGAACTGTGCGGGCGAGGGATCTAGGTCGTGTGCTCCTTATGAGAATCTGATGCCTGATATCTGTCACTGTCTCCCATCACACCCAGATGGGATCATCTAGTTGCAGGAAAACAAGCTCAGGTCTCCCATTGATTCTACATTACGGTCAGTTGTATAATTATTTCATCATATATTACAACATAATAATAATAGAAAAAAAGTGCACAATAAATGCAATATGCTTGAATCCTCCCAAAGCCACCTCCAACCCCAGGTCTGTGGAAAAATTATCTCCCACAAAACCAGTCCCTGGCTCCAAAATGGTTGGAGACCACTGCCCTAGTATATGTGTCTCCCTGGAGATACACCATTTAAAAACCTACACAAGGATTATATGACATATAACACTGAAAATATCTCTTGGAGAACTTTGCATGTCAGCACCTAGAATTCTACTTCATTCTTTGGAGTAGATGCATACCAACATATGTCTTTTGAACAACAGGTATTGGTAAAGAGGACCAGCACTCTCCTTTAAATGAATTAAAACAGAATTGGGGAAATAACTAGAGTTGTAAACTCTTTCCATGCATTTTCACAAAGAAAACGGAAGACAAACCAAGGGAGAGTAACTATATATGATAGGATATTTGATATTTTCTAGATATTTTGAAGTTTACATTATAAACTCATTTTTTGGCCAAGCATTGAAGGAGAACATTTCTTATTTCCAGTTAAAAGAGCACATTTTTTTCTTAGTTCATTAATATCTATTGCTACCGAGCTACAATTGGATGAAGTTATCTACGTATTTTCACTATTTAGATATATTTGGAATCTTCATTTCTCTCTTATATGTGAACTCTAAGTATAGAATTAGTTATTGTGCAAATATCATAGGCACTTGAAAAATGGCTTGTTATCTCTTTTCAGAGTAAAGCATTTAATACAACATTTAGGTATAACATAACTGCATTTTTTTCTACTTGAAAAAGAAGAGAAGGCATAGTTTTTTTCTTTAATTTCTTAGGATCTTTGGTTTTCCCCTCTTATTTCTTCTTTCTCTCCCCTACAATGTCTCCAAGGACTACCAGCACTTCACTACATACCTACTTCTACCTAAGAAACCATGTTTTCCAGAGATGGATACCCCTTATTATACATAGCTTCTAGTCCTTTCCTTCTAGTCAAAGCTGTGAACTACCACTTGCTGATCTGCGTTTAGTAATGTGGCATTTATCTGCACTTTCTCTTTATTCTGGGGGTGATTTCATCTGTGCTTCTGCTAGGTCCTTTCTTCCTCTCCTCTCTGTGTCACAGAATGCCTTAAACCTCCACTCTTTGTTCTTTGCAATGGGAGTTCTTTTAGAATTGGTTTTGATTATTCTACTTATCTGTATTTCAAGGATATGATGTTCTCTGTTTACTAGTAATAAGAAAATATGTATGGAGGCTGTGGCTGTGTGGTTTTATTTGTTATTTTTGCTTTTATAGCTTTCTTTGAAAAGACATAGAAGAGATTAAGAATTGGGCTATTGTGCAGAGTATAGTATATTTTGTTTTTTAAATATCTTGTTTAAGATATTTAATAATGAATAAAGCATGCTGGAACCAGAGAACATAAACTTAAGCAAATGAAAAGGAATATAGCAAAAGGTAGATAAATAATATTGCAAAAGGAGTGGCCTAAAGAATCTTCTGAGAGTAGACAAACAGTGCTTCATAGTTTCAAATAAATGACAGAATGATACACATAAAATGAGTTAAAGGAGAGATATTAAGAAAAGATATAAAGGCAGAGTATGAATTTAAAGAAGTGTTCATTAAAAGAAAAAATAACTACAAAAGAAATAGAAAGAAAACATTTAAGAGATGAGAGACATAATAAAAAGAACAAAATGTAGACTCAAGAGGAAAGAAAATAGAGTCAAGTAAGGATACAACGGCTATGTCTGGTGAAATCACACACACAAAAAATGGAAACCAACAATTTCATTAAAATGATCTGAAAGATGATAGATATTTCAAAGCAAGAAAGGCAGCTATTTACTCTCTGCAAAAAAAGGTGAAGAATAGGAAAAGTACACCTCCACTCCTCACCTCTCTTCTCTCTAGGATTTTTTTGTGTTTGCTTCGTTTTACTTTAGCATTTTTTCTTTACTGTTTTATTGTCAAGTTTATATTTCACAATATCCTCATTAATTATAACACATACAGTTGTTCCACCTATTTCTTTATTAAAAGATAATCTTCTGTTGTCTATTTGTCCTTCTACAATAGCTTTCCTTTGTTGAATACTTAATTTTGATTATTTTCTGGGATTTCTAAAATTTATCTTCAAGATTTCCTTTTCAGAATGAGCTATGAGCTCTATGAGTTTTTACACATTTCAAGATGTATGAAAGATAAAACATAGAAAATCACTGGTCATGTGTAAGTTGACAAAAAATTTACTATACAGTTTTTCAACACCTTCCATGCTTAAATATCATTATAGAGAAATATAAGGCAGGCTGACATTTTTCCCATAGAGATGATTTTATTTATTTGTCTAAGGGCCTATTGAATTATTCTTCCCATTGAATTTCAGAAATTTTAAAAGGTTATTCCTGAGTGATAGTTTTCTAGCAATTTATTTTTCTTGACTATATACCTTTAAAATATTTACATTAAAATCTCTATGCCTGATTTTATTCTATTATGTATTTTTATTTGGTGAGCGTATATTTGTGATTTTTCTTTTCTTAATGTTCCCAATTATGTTTATGTTGGATCTCCTTAGTCTCTCTATAATATCTATCATCTTTCAAATCATTTTAATGAAATTGTTTTTCATTTTTTGTGTGATTTTACCGAGCATAGCCATTGTATCCTTACTTGACTCTATTTTCTTTCCTGTTGAGTCTACATTTTGTTATTTTTATTATGTCTCTCATCTCTTAAATGTTTTCTATTTCTTTTGTAGTTATTTCTTTTAATGATCACTTCTTTAAATTCATATTCCCTCTTTATATCTTTTCTTAACATCTCTCCTTTAATTCATTTTATGTGTAACATTCTGTAATTTCTTTGAAACTATGAAGCATTGTTTGTCTACCCTCAGAAGATTCTTTAGGCCACTCCTTTTGCAATATTATTTATCTACATTTTGCTACATTCCTTTTCATTTGCTTAAGTTTATGTTCTCTAGTTCCATGATGGTTTATTTGTTTTTAGTATTAACCTTTGAAAATCACTCAACTCAAGAGGGAAAATAATGAAAAGAGAGAACTAGAGAACATTTTAATTTCATGTTTTCGATAAAACATCTCTTCCCCAGAAGATTATTGCCCTGAAAGGACGTCTCTCCTTAATTTCAGCAAGTTAGTGGCAATTACTGAAGGAATTCAGCTGTGATAATCTTGCAATTGCTGCTTCTCCTTCTTTTATGCCATCTCGCCACAATAATCTCTGTCATATACATAGGCTATGAAAAATCAAAATTCAATTTTGGCATGAGTCCAGTGTCTCTCCAATATATTCATGCATATCTGGATCTGCTTAAGCATAATGCTATGTCTAACATAACATTATGTTATGTGTGTATGCGCGTGCGCGCACACACATACACACACGCTTTTTCCATGGTAGGCCCTCACTGTTAGATATGCTCACTGTAATTCAGATTGGTAGGTGGAACCTTAAAGATGTGACAGTTACTTTACTACTTCTAGGAAAGTGTACATCCACCTGAGGTTTATTGATTTGCATATATGCTGTCAACATTGTACTTCATATATATTCAAATTTATGGTATGAATTATTTTTCTTCATATTTTTGGTTTCGAATTTTTACTTTCTCTGCTTTATTAACATACTTTTCCTTGATTTTTATTTTTTGGTTGTTTTAGATAGTTTTAAGAATGGTAGTAAACAGAATGTTTGCCTTCATGCTGCCATTTTTTCTCAAACTGCCTTGTAGTGATTTTTGATGACTCGGTGACTCTTTATTAGATATACCTAGGCATTTCAACGTTTGCCTTGTATCTGTACATTGAAATCAGTGATGAATGAATAAATGGTTTTGTTTCACTGTCAGTTTTTGGAACCTATCTGTACTCAGCTCTTTGACAACTTTTGCTACTGTCTTGCAATATTAATGAAAAGATGCATGTCCATTTTAGAGTCTATGACTTGATTTTAGTATTACTACTATTATAATACTAATAGTGGTATTACTACTAATAGTATTACTACTATTATACTACTAATAGTATTACTACTATTATACTACTAATAGTATTACTACTATTATAATACTAATAGTAGTATTACTACTAATAATATCACTACTTATTTTTTAGTCAACTGCTATAAATAATAATAAACCCAAAGAGCCTGTTGTCTTAAGCCCCTTTTCCCAAAAACTGTTATCTTAAAGCCCTTTTAATAATTACAAACAAGCATAATTTCAATACCAGAATTTATACTAGGGCTTAATTAGTATTATTAGACTTCTCTTTAAAGTGAAAGAGAATATATCTTGTTGAGAAAAATAAAAACTTATAAGAAACAATACAGTAAAAAGTAATAAAAAATTTTATTGTATTTAATCCTACATTACTGTAGTTAATTAAATTTAACATAGTTTACTCAAAATTTTCTCATAATACATTTCAAAAATAAAAATCCTAAAAAAGATCTCTTTCTTGTTTTAAATGTTTTTCATTCTTATCTCCAAGAGCAATGCAAATAAATGTTTTATTTTAACTGTATCTACCTTTAAATGTTCCTTAAAATTGCCAGTTTTTCAGTTTATACAAAGAAAGGCCACTTAAAGTATCCACCTTAAAACAAAATTTAATAAGACTCTTGCCACCACAACAGGAAAAGGAACAAATACTTAAGCAACCATGCTAAAAGTCATTTAAGCATTCATTTTCTCACAGATACAGGAAATGAAATGCAAACAAACTAACTAAATATAGGTTTTTAATCTAGGCCTCAGCAGTCTGTACATTCAGAAAAAAAATGTTATAGCTACTTCAGTCAGTAGAACACGAAAAGTGAAATTATGAATAAAGAAATGTGTATAAATGATGAAACACTTTATTATATTTCTTAACATAAAATGTCATAACATATAATATAGATAAATATTTTGTGGCTTTACTAGAATCTAATATAAAGCAAAAGGCCTGGGACTGGAGAAGAGATTTCCAGAGGAAATCTCATTTCTTCACTAATGGCATAGCATAGTATGATTACTTGAATTACTGTGAAATTAAGCTATTTTTAAACTTTTGCTACTTTCTTTTTTCTACTACATTTCACATTTTCTTTGATGGAGGCTGGTTACTACATAAGCACAGATAGTAATAAAAATAACCATATTCCTTATTTCCAGAATTGGTAAAACAGTAAATGCGAATTAAACCTGGAAATCAGGTAGTAGGCTTTGCCTTATCATTTATTTTCTTATCATATTGAATTTTCTAACAGTCTCTGTTTAGGAACAAACACTGTCACTGTCTCATTCTTCCTTTCTATATTCTTGTAATTCTTGGTTAATAGGTTAATTGATATGAGGAATGAGGAAATGCATAAATAGGTCCACACAAATATGAAAATCATATTTTTGAAGATTATTTGCAAATATATCACTGAACAGATTCTCAGCACCTATGTGTAAATATGGTGTGTGTGTGCATGTGTGTGTATGTGTGTACTCACCCGTGGGTAATGAACTGATGTCAATTCTTGATTTTGAAAGATGATTTTGAACTCGACAACAATAATGCAGGCCTCCTGAAAGTAAAAAGCTATTGATTTTACTAGGTCTTCAGTAAGACTCTCAATGAGATGCCATTTTCATTTTCAAAAAGTATATTTAATAATTTATAAATCCTCCAAAAATGAAGTACGAAAGTATAAGTTTAAAGGCAGATGCTAAATCAAAAGACATTCATGGATTTATAGAAAAAATACCAATAAGGCAAAGAGATTCATTAAATAATAAATGTATAAAATATTCATTCAATACTTAATTAGAAAACACAGTCTTTTGATGAGAGATTTTCAAACAGGTTTAGTATCTGCAGAATGAGTGTATAAAGTTGGATATTAAAAAATAAAAATAGAGAACATAATATGTATGCTTCATGGTTATTCCTCTAATGATTATGGAGTAAAGGATATATCTGAACCAGTACCTATTGGAATGGGTAGAATTTCACCAGGCAGAGAAGAATGAACAAGTTATTCTAGGTTGACAAAATAGCAAGAGTAAAAGGATGTAGGAGCAATAAAGACAGGAGTCACAGAGCATACTGAAGTTTATAAAGGGCACCAGATTCCAACTGCAACAACAACAAAAAAGCAGGCTAGAGATTTGGGTTATGACTAAAGTAGAGGTCTTACAGTTCAAATGAGTGAAATAATTGTGTTGTTTTGAAAAGTGTCTGTTCATGTCTTTTGCCCACTTTTTAATGGGGTTGTACATGTAGGCAACAATTACATGAAAAATAGCTCAACACCACTGATCATTAGGGAAATGCAAATCAAAACCACAATGAAATATCATCTCACAAAAGTCAGAATGGCTACTATTAAAAAGTCAACAAATAACAGATGCTGGTGAGGTTGTGGAGAAAAGGGAATGCTTATACAATGTTGGTAGGAGTATAAAGTATATTAACCATTATGGAAGATAGTATGATGGATCCCTCAAAGAGCTGAAAACAGAACTATCATTCACCCCAGCAATCCCATGACTAGGTATATGCCCAAAGGAACATAAATCATGCTACCATAAAGACACATGCATGCACATGTTCATTGCAGTGCTCTTCACAATAGCAAAGACACAGAATCAACCTAAATGCCCATCGATAGCAGACTGAATAAAGAAAATGTGGTACATATACACCACAGAATACTATGCAGCCAAAATAAAGAACACGATCATGGCCTTTGTGGGAACATGAAAGTAGCTGGAGGTCATTATCCTTAGCAAACTAATGCAGGAACAGGAAAAAAAAAAAAAAGAAAACAAATATCCCATATTCTCACTTATAAGTGGGAGCTGAATGACGAGAACACATGAACACGTAGAGAGCAACAACAGACACTGGGGCCTTCTTGAGGGTAGAGGCTGGGAGGAGGAGAGGATCAGAAAACATAATTAATGGGTACTAGGCTTAATACCTGGATGATGAAATAATCTATACAACAAACCCTCATGACAAACTTTACCTATATAACAAATCTACACATGTACCCCTGAACTTATAAAAAAAGGTAAATTAAAAACCAAGTTCTTAGAATGGTAACCACCATAGGACATGGTGCAATAAATATTAACTATTACCATTTCTTGTGATCTCAGACTTAGGAAAACTTTCTGCATCTCAATATTATGAGAATTTAGTCACTTTAAAAGTTACTCTTGTAGATAGCGTGAGGAATGAGTAAAACTGTATTATTTTCCCAGTGAATAGAGTTGTTCCAATATCATTTACAGTGTATCCCGTCCTTTCCACACAAATTTGAACAATCATCTTAAATTATGAATTCATATATATGAAATGATTCCTATGTACAAATGGGTCATTTGCTGTATATGTTTATTTGTCTTCTAATACTTTCTACTGGTAAATTGTACTCGTTTCTCTCCAATTCTAATCCTGTCATAATTCTTGGTAATTTCAACATTCAAATAGTTCATTTTCTGATACTTCAGTGCTATGGTTTGAATGTGTGTGTCCCCTCCAAAATTCACAGGTTGAAACCTAACCCACCCAATGTTATAATGTTGGAAGGTAGGGCCTTAAGGAGGTAATTAAGTCACAAAGGCAGAGCCCTCATGAATGGATTAATGCCATCATAAAAAGGGCTTGAAAAAGTGGATTCACTCCCGCTTACCCTCTCACCTTCCACCACATGATGACACAGCAAGAAGACCCTTGCAAGATGTTGGCATCTTGATCTTGGACTTCCCAGCCTCCAGAACTGTGAGCCAATAAATTATTGTTTATTGTATTAAAAAATAATTGTGAAAGTGTTTACTAAATAGGGAAGATGAAGTTTGATTTAAAAAGAAGTAAGTTTGTTTTTCTTATGTTGGATTTGAGGAGCCAAGAGATCATATACTTACTTGAAATGTCCAGCAATTAATTAGCAATTTGAATTTGGAAATGAATAAATGAATATCAGCTATTTCATCATAATAAGTCTCTATAAGATTATAATTTTCAAACTATTTTTAAAAATTCTTATTAAAAAATAGATTTGACAGTAATGTTCATGAAAATGACATTTGTTGAAGCTTTGTGAACCAATGAAACAGACAAAACTATTGGTCAGTAAATCTTGTATATTTAGACAGATATGTCTTAAGGAAAGCTGCCAAAGAGGAGACGTGGAAATAATCATCAGAGATGGAAGAGAATTGAGAGTGCACGTTGCTGTGCAGTAAATTTGAGAAGATAATATCTAACCAGGTAAAATCAATGCCTTCAGATGTTGTAGAAATATCCCTGAGGAAGATAGAAATTGAAAACAAGAAGTTATCAATACCCCGTCAGATGAAGTGACTGATGATGAAATAGAGGTAATGAGTTTACTCCACTTTTTCATTAAGCTTTGAAAGAAGTAAATGGCAATTTTAAGATGAAATTCTTCAGAAGTAAGTTCAGTTAGAATGTTAATCTATTCACAGAAAATAGAAGTAAGCATAACTCAACAGCCATGTTAGTCTCTTAGTTTAGTAGCACTTGAGTGACCTGGAAGTCCACTCCACTTTAGCCTCCCCATCCAATTGCAACAGACTCCACTCTGTCATCTCCTTGAACAGCTCTATTTAAATGCTAAATATAAACTCACCCTTTTGCCAAAAAGACTCCTCTTTCTCTTCTGATTCTCAATGCATTTATTCTTTTATCAACAAGGACACTCCTAATTCTCCTCTGTATATCAGTCTCTTCTAATCCATATCTTTAATCTCAGTCAACTAAGATATCTAGTCCACACCAGGCAAAATATCATAGGCTCCATTTCTTCATTTTCTATTATTCCATTCAGTTTTTAAAATGTACCACTTGATTAAACCAATGCTTCTTCTCTACACTTTGGCATAGGATGCTTTAGAAAATGACACAGTAGCGGCCAGGTGCGGTGGCTCATGCCTGTAATCCCAGCACTTTGGGAGGCCGAGGTGGGTGGATCACAAGGTCAGGAGATTGAGACCATCCTGACTAACACAGTGAAACCCCGTCTCTACTAAAAACACAAAAAATTAGCCAGGTGTGGTGGCGGATGCCTGTAGTCCCAGCTACTCGGGAGGCTGAGGCAGGATAATGGTGTGAACCCGGGAGATGGAGCTTGCATTGAGCCGAGATAGCACCACTGCAATCCAGCCTGGGCGACAGAGCAAGACTCTGTCTCAAAAAAAAAAAAAAAAAAAAAAAAAAAAGACACAGTAGCAAAAGTTTATAGCATGATGAAAAAAATTGAAGCTTCCAAAGCCAACTTCAAAACTGCCTCCTGATCTTCTCAGGCTTCTAAAATCATATTTTTCTCATTTGCACAACAAATTTTATTTGTGTCAATTTCTTCAATAAAGTATCTTGAATGCCTTTTCTGCTTTTCACTCCCTTATCATTCAGATTATCTTCCTAGTCATAATTTGAGTTTTCTTTTCTTATTATTTTGTTCTCACACAATGCTTGGTGTTTTTTTTCCTTAAGTACCTTTGAAATATATTTTTATGTATTTATTAACTCACTTTGGATACTAAATCAAGAAGGCAAGTATCAATCTTTCATTATACTTTCTTTTCTTTCAGAAGCTTTTAACATTTATTACTAGGACTTCCTTAAATATCGCCTCCTGTGACAATCAACTCTAGGGCTTGCTCTAACCTATGTTGCTGTTTTTCACATGCTACTTTGCAGACTTCTTTTCTTCTGCCTGTGTCTTTAATGACACTGTTCCTCAAGACCTGTATTAGATTCCTGTATTTTCCCCACTCCTCTTGGATAATCTCATTCATCATTAGAGTTTCAATGAATATTATAAGCAAGTTACATCCACATCTATAGCACATCACCAGTTCTCCTGCCTATATCCATAGGTAAAATGCTAACTTGATAATTCCACTTGAGTTGACATATACACACTTCAAATTCATTATCTTCAAGACTGACCTATCCTTTTGCCACTAAAACCTATATCTAATTCTGAGTTGCCAATCTCAACGAAAGTTGTCTTTCTACTCAGTTGCTGATGCAAAAACTTTCATATCACTTTAAAAATAACTTCACTCGGCCCCTTAACTCATTCTATATACCACTAAATTCTGTAAATTCTTAGTACTAAGTTGGTAAACCCACCAATTTTTATTTCCTTCTATTGACAGTAACTTACGTGTTTCCCACTTATATAACTGAAATAAACAACAAAACAATAAAAACATATATCTTTTTTACAAGTCTGCCTGCCCCCACGTTTTCTTTTCTCAATCCATTCTCCATGCTAAACTCAAGAAAGTATTATAAGCTATAAATTTACTTCTTTATCTTTCAAAATAAGCTCATTTTTTCATATAAAGTGGAATCACCTTATCATTATCTACAAGTCTCTTCATCATTTGGCCCCAACTTACCTACCTAGAATCATCTGTTGAGGTTTACACTGTAAAATGAAATGCATTTAACTTTCACTCTTTTGGATGTGCAATGTAATTTCTAGCATCTGGGTCTCCCTCCACACATAACACTCTTATGTTTGTCTCCTTATTTTGTAAACTCTAATAATCCTTTAGGTTTCAGAGTAGTTGTTTCTTATTGGAAAATTCCAAAACCAGTAGTTGGCAGCTGACTCTCTCCTTTTGTTCCATAGTGTTTATACTAATTTTCTGTTATTTCCTTTTAACTTATCTTCATCCCTTACTAAAATCTAAACTGCATGTGGGTCAAGATCATTTTTACTTGTCATTGTATTCAAAGCACCTATATAAATACTCTAAAAAGATTTAATAAATCAATAGATTCACTCATGAAAGACCAAATATGCAGAGGAAAAAAGTCTGAAGGGAAGGGAACAAATGACACAAATAAAGAGATTATATTTTCCTCAACAATCCTAATGAGTACTTCATGCTCCTATAGTAACTAAGACTCATGTGATTTTCAAATGGAATCATAGGTGTCCTATAGAGATCCCATCCACATTTGTAGATGAGGGCATGCAATTCTGCTTGTCTGGCATGGTTCTCAACTGTGGATGCTTTTGTCTCTTGGTGGACATTTAGCAATGCTGGGAGATATTTTTGATGGTCGCATCTGGAGATGGTGGGGGAAGTGGCTACTGGCATCAAATGGCTAGGGGCCAGGGCTTCAGGAAAACATCCTACAACGCACATGGGAGCCACCACCGCAAAGGTTTATCCAAACCCTACATGATAATAATGCCAAGAGCAAGTGGTATAAGGCCTAAAATTAATATTATCTGTTGCCTTGACATCTGATAAAATTGAGAGAGGTTTTAATAAATTAACCACATTACCTTCCTCTCCGTTTTGGTAAATAAGATCCCTTAGCTAAAAGAAATTTCTCCTTGTGAATTGTAATTCCTGCTTAGTCCTGTGTAGTGGGTTCATTGGTAGCCTGTAGAATTATTCACAGGAAACAATAACATCCTTCTGCAGGGCCCAGGGGACACTTTGGCCTCTTGATACTACAAAATCTGCCTCCTAAATCCTCCTATTGTTCACTTTTTCCCCTGAGAGTATCCATTGTGTGGCCCTGCATAGTGAGTGTTCTCATCTCCTGAGCTGTGACTATAAGTGACTAATAAACTATGGTCTGTTTCATTTGTCCAGGATCAGGTGTCACTGTTAAGCTCTCCTCATAACCCTCGGGCAGGAAGCCCTCTCTCATCAATGAAATGAAGAGTTGATGATCAAAACAGGATGACACACATAAACAGAATTAAAAATAAAAATCATCTCAATAGTCATGGGAGAACCTTTTAATAAAATCCAACATCCCTTCATGATAAAAACCCTCAACATACAAGGCATCGAAGGAACACATCTCAAAATATTAAGAGCCATCTATGACAACCCACAACTAACATCAAACTGCATGGGTAAAGCTGTAAGCATTCTCCTTAAGAACAAGAACAAGGACAAGAATGTGCACTCTCACCACTCCTATCCAACATAGTACTGGAAGTCCTTGCCAGAGCCATCAGGGAAGAGAAAAAAATAAAAGGAATCCAAATAGAAAAAGAAGAAGTCAAATTATCTCTCTTCATTGATTATATGATTCTATACCTAGTAATCCCCAAAGATTCCATCAAAAGGCTCCTGGAACTGATAAACAATGTCAGTAAAGTTTCAGGATATAAACCAAATTACAAAAATTAGTAGCATTCCTATACACCAATAATGTCCAAGCTGAGAGCCAAATTAAGAATGCAATCTCATTTATAATAGCCACAAAATAAGATACCTAGGAATACATCTAACCACGATGAAAGATCTCCACAATAATTACAAAACACTGCTGAAAGAAATCATAAATGATACAAATGAATGGAAAAACATCTCATGCTCTTGCACTGGAAAAGGTAATACCATGAAAATGGCCATACTGACCAAAGAAATCTACAGATTTAACACTATTCCTATCAAACTACCAGTGTCATTTTTTACAGAATTAAAAAATAATCTAAAATTCATATGGATTCGAAATAGAATCCAAATAGACAATGCAATCCTAAGCAAAAAGAACAAAGTTGGAGGCATCAAATTACCCAACTTTAAACTATATACAATTAACCTACAATAACCAAAGCAGCATGGTACTGGTACAAAAATAGACACACAAACCAATAAAACAGAATAGAGAAAGCAGATATAAAGCCACACACCTACAGCCATCAATCTTTGACAAAGTTGACAAAAATAAGCAACAGGGAAAGGACTCCCTATTCAATAAATGGTGCTAGGATGGCTGACTATCCATTTGCAGAAGAATGAAACTGGATCCCCACCTTTCAACATATACAAAAATCAACTCAAGAACTCAAGATGGATTAAAGATTTAAATGTAAGACCTTAAACTAGAGGAAAACCTAGGAAATACCATTCTGGACAATGGCCTTGGGAAATAATTTATGACTAAGTCCTCAAAAGTAATTGCAACTAAAACAAAAATTGACAACTGGTATCTAATTAAACTAAAAAGCTTCTGCATACTGAAAGAAACTATCAACAGAGTAAACGGACAACCTACAGAATGGGGAAAAATATTTGCAAACTATATATCTGACAAAGGTGCATATCTAGAGTCTATAAAAAAGTTAAAAAATCAACAAGCAAAAAACAAATAATCCTATTAAAAAGTGGGTCTCTAAAGAGGACAAACAAGCAGCCAACAAACATGAAAAAATGCTCAGCATTCACTAATAATCAGAGAAATGCAAATCAAAACCACAATGAAATACCACCTCACACTGGTCAGAATCACTATTGTTAAAAAGTCAAAAAATAACAGATGCTGGTGGGGTTGCAGAGAAAAGGGAATGCTTATTCATGGTTCATGGGAATGTAAATTATGCCAGCCACTGTGGAAAGCTTGGAGATTTCTCAAAAAAAAAAAAAAAAAAAAAAAGCTTAAAACTACCATTCAACCTAGCAATTCCATTACTAGGTATTCACAATAGCAAAGACATGTCAAACTAAATGCCCATTAACGGTGGACTGGATAAAGAAAATGTGGTAAATATATACCATGGAATATTACATAGCCAGAAAAAAATAAAATTATGCCCTTTGCAGCCACATAGATGCAGATGGAGGACAATATTCTAAGCAAATTAACACAGGAATAGAAAAAAAATACCACATGTTCTTATTTGCAAGTGGGAGCTAAGCATTGGATACACATGCACATAAAGATGAGAACAATAGACATGGGGACTACTTGGCAGTAGGGAAGTGGAGGAAGAGCTGAAAAACTACCTATTCGGTACTATGCTCAGTACCTGGGTATATTAGGGATCTCTAGAGGAACAAGACTACTAGGATAGATGTACATATGAAAGGGAGTTTATTAAGGAGTACTGACTCACACAATCACAAGATGAAGTCCCACAATAGGCTGTCTGCAAGCTGAGGAACAAGGAAGCCAGTCCAAGTCCCAAAACCTCAAAAGTAGGGAAGCTGACAGTGCAGCCCTCAGTCTGTGGCCGAAGGCCCTAGAGCCCCTGGCAAACCACTATAAATCCAGAGTCCAAAAGCTGAAGAACTTGGAGTCTGATATTTGAGGGCAGGAAGCATCCAGCATGGAAGAAAGATGAAGGCCAGAAGACTCAGCCAGTCTAGTCCTTCCACGTCCCTCTGCCTGCTTTTATCCCAGCCATGCTAGCAACTGATTAGATGGTGGGCCTGCCTCTCTCAGTCCACTGACTCAAATGTTAATCTCCTTTGGTAACACCCTCACAGACACACCCAAGAACAATACTTTGTTTCCTTCAACCCAATCAAGTTGACATTCAACCATCATCACACTGGGTGATGGAATAACTTGTACCCCAAACCTCCATCATGCAGTATACCCAGTACATGTAGCCCGAGTCTAAAATAAAAGTTGAAATTATATATATAAAAAGAACAAGGTCAGAAAACCTGATCTACAGGGGTTTCTACTCTATTTCCTTTTGAGAATTCTAAAATCAAGAAGTCTTACAAAGGTAAGAAAACAGTTCTATCAATGCTTCAAAGTGGAATAGTGTAAGAGCCCAGAGCTCTTTCTAAATCTTTTCCAGGATCAACCTCTTGATAATTAAGTGACATTGAATAATTCAGTTTGTCCTATTTGGATTGTATTTCTTCAGAGTTGTAACTAATTCTAGTAATAAGACCAAATAAAATAGCTTTCTGAAAGGAATATTCCATATTAGGTCTCCCCTCTGTGGGCTTTAGATCTTGGTTGCAGAAATTAGATGATATCCAATAGTTTATTAGCAGTTCTGGGGTGGTAGACTTGCTATGGGTGGCCTCTGCCTCCTTGGACTACACATAGCAATTGATTGCTGCTGAAGAATGAGATCTAATTCTAATAAATCTTCCTGTGTCATCTGTATTTTGCTGAAGAGTCCACAAAGTAATAGCTGAGAAGTCTTATATTGAACAGCATTTAGAAATGCCAAAAATTTATAGTAATGTTGGTAGCATCAACTTTCTAGGTTATTATGTAGAATGTGGAAGATAGAGTAACGTTAGAAAATAGTGGAACTATATTGAAATAGCTACTGTATTAAGTGTTATTATATTTAAAATATTTGTCATATTGTATATTACATTAGTGCATAATTCTACGAGTAATTATTAATATTTGACTAGTTAAGTTTTGCAAATGATATTACTGAGATGTTTGTAAAGTTCTGTAAGAAAAACAAAAATCTGTGATAAATTATTTGTAGGAAATGCAAAATTGGTTGCCTCATTGAGTTCCACAATGAGCCTAAAAAAATATTTTTAATGTTATTTAAACTAAGATTTCCCAAATATATTTGACTAGAGAACTCCTTTTTGCAGACTAATTTTTAACGTCATGTGTTTTATTGAATAAAGTTCAGGAAATGTTTTCATTATATATGATTTCATCACATATATAGATCTATATGTACACATATGTTTTTATTTGTGCAAAAATGTTTTAATTATACAAGTGGAGGACAGACACATGAACTATTTAAAAAATATTAATGCATGTACTTAGTTAATTGGTAAAACAAACATGTTCCACAAAGAACTGGAGGTTCCTTAAAAACAACATATGTAAAGTAAAAAAAAAATTATTTGCAGATTCAGAATCAGAAAATACAGTTTTCTAATAAATAAGCATAACCATACAACTTTGGGATAGAGTATCATTTTTCTGCCCAAATTTAGCTAAGCAGAAAATGGACATATTTTTAAACTATTAGACACCTAGTATTAGTCTATTTCCAATGTCAATTTCTCATATTCCTTTTATTATATTTTTGTGAAAATGTATTCTGGGTACCTAGCAGGAAGTCAGTCATAGGACACAGTGACTGGAGAAAACATACAAGCACCAAGGTAACTGATGTGGGGAAGAACAGTCCCACCGCATCCTTAGGAATGTTGACCAGATTGTGGGGGACACAAACAGTTCCTTTCAGTAGAAAGTAAATAGATTAAGAAACCAACCAGATGGCTTAACACACTTTTTATTCTTTCTCTTCTTTCCCTTTTCTTTTCATGGTATAAAAGACTAGTCAGGTATGCATTGCAAATGCAGAGATTTACCTCACCTTACTGCTGCCCAAGATTGCCTCTTATGAAATATCCTGCTGAATAAATCTTTGACTATCTATCAACATGGAATGGTTTGCTTTGCCCTCTGCTTGCGAGAGTCATTCTTGGTTCTGGTAGGGAATTTTCCTGACACGTATCAAAATATTATTTGATATCTTGATTTTTATGTGTGCATAATTGCTCATCTCGTGTGTATACCATTGCTGAAGCTGGTATTGACTTTGGCTTTTACTCTTAACAAAAACCATGCTATAGCTTATTCTGTGTGTACTCTATATTGGCCTTTTGTCAATAGTTAAGAATATAATTTGCATTTCAACGCCACTGTGTGTGTGAGAATCAGAGTTGATTTGGAGCGTTCTAAAAGACCTTATGCAACTCTGAGCAAATTTAAACTAAGATATACTTTTGTCATCTTTATATTTTTAATAATATTAAATTGCTATTGGATGATTCAGAGGTTTTTTTGTTGTTAGATATAAGATAAAGAAAAGAGAAGGTAATCCTCAGAGATGCAGGTGGTGAGGCTACAGAGATCACCTAAAATGATCAAAAGCCACGGAGATTTTCTTCTTGAACTTCCTGATATATCAATATTCTAAAAATATATAGTCTGTGCCATTTACCCTGGAGAAACAAAACTTTCCTTGACACTCTTGATTTAAGTCCAACTTTTACACTGGTTTTAATCCAAGTCTTTTTTCAAAAGTCACTCTTTCTGACAAACAAAAAGAGAATTAGCCCTCTATTCCATCATTCTCTAACCCCTTATCCTGCCTAAGCCTTTCTTAAAAATTTCATTTTCTTAATATGTGATAGGATATGTGATATTATGTCACTGTTCATCTGTCTCCTCAACTAAAATGAAAGATCTTGGAAGGCAGGTACTTTATCATATTTCCATCTAAATTTTATTTCCTGGAATAAGACCTTTTATACTAGGCAAATGGAGAAGGAATGGTAAATTCTCTTACTCCAGCACAAGACCCAGTAAAAAAAAGTCATTGCTTCTTGGGAGAAGTAGAAGCAGAAGCCTTCTTCCTTTGAAGAAGGGAAGAGGGAAACCTCCTACTTCCAGGACACAAGTAGAGATCTGCTGCTTCTGGAGTACAAGAACAAGCAAGAACTCTCTGCACATGGAGATGGGCAGAAAATTCTTTGTGGCTCCTAATATTGCATCAATAAAAATTTTGCATTAGGTGAGATAGAGGAGAAGGGATAAATGATCTTTTACCTCCTAAGCCTCAAGAATACATGTGAGAGTTGGGCTCCCACAAATGGGAGGAAAAAAAAAATCTGATAAAGAACTATCTCCAAGGCCAGGGATACAAGGCCTGCATAAGGCTGAAACTGAAACAAGAAACTGGAACCTTCCTCTGTATTTAGTATGAAAGAAGTACCTTCCTAGTAAATAACAGCAGTCTACCACTGGGAGAGGGGCACTGCATAGAGAGAAATGTCCTCACGTCACAGGTGTGCAAAGGCTGCTGAAAGATAAGCCTGAAAAAGCCAAAAGCAAAAAGAACACCATCATCTCATGCCCCACTCTAAGCACAAAGTAACAGCAGGTTAACACTAGAAATATTTCCTGTGGTCAACTAGAGAGTGTAACAACAAAAACCCAAACCAGCTCGAGTTATGACTAAATTGACTCAATTCCACATAATAAACAAAAGAAGATTCATGCCCATTTCTGGTAGTGATTTTATTTATCTTTTTTTCAAGTGTCTCCCATAGTTTCTGGCATTCAATTTTTAAAAAATCATGAGACACAATAAAGGAAGAAAATAACCCAACCATTAACAAGAGATGAAGTAATAGACTCAGAGATGTAAGTATATAAAAAAGTCAAATGGAAATGCTAGAAATAAAAAAATAAATAAAATATCATAGATAGGGTTCCTTTGGTGGACCCAGGGAAAGTTTGGATATAGGTGAGGAAAGAATCCATAATCCCTGAAAGTGAGAAGAAGTGAACAAAAAGTATCCAAAATGAAATGCAAAGAAGAAAAAAGTATGTGTGTTGAGAGCCAGGGTGGGGAAGGAAGAACCAGAGCAGAGCTCCCAAAAGCTGAAAACAGTGTGAATCTGCATATACATGTAATTGCTTTTTTTTCAGGAAAAATAGAAACAGAATGGGCAGAAGAAACATTTTAAAAAGAATGGTCTAGAATTTTCCAAAATTAATGAAATACAACAAACGACATGTCCAAGTAGGTTGGAAAAACCCAAACAGGAAAAGGACAAAAAAAGGGACTCACATGTACACACAAACACATCATGGTCAAACTAGAGAAAGGCAAAAATAAAAAATCCATCTCGAAGGCAGTTTAGAGGCAGGAGAAACAAAACAAAACACTGCAAGACATTGAGAGAAACAAATATGATAGTTGTACCAGATTAATCATTAGAAATACTACAAGCCAAAATCTCAGAAATCAGTGCTAAAGAACTTATCTGTGTAACCAAATACCATCCATACTCCAAAAACTATTAAAATAAAAAATTAATTTAAAAAAGAAATATTACAAGCTAGAAAACAATGGAGTGACGTCTTTAAAGGCCACACATACAAAATGAATTGACACAAAATTGTAGCCCCAGTGACATTTAAAAAAAAAAAAAAGGATGCAGGCCAAGTATGGTGGCTCACACCTGTAATCCAGCACTTTGGGAAGGCAAGGAAAGAAGATAGCTTGGTACTCAGGAGGCTAAGGCAGGAAGAACTGCTTGAACCTAGGAGGCGGAGGTTGCAGTGAGCTGAGATTGCACCACTGCACCCCAGCCTGTTGGGTGACAGAGCAAGACTCTATCAAAAAAAAAAAAAAAAAAGAAGATAGCTTGAGCCCAGAAGTTCCAGACCAGCCTGTGCACCATGGTGAATCCCCATCTCTACAAAAAATACAATAATTAGGTGGGTGTGGTGTCACATGCCTGCAGTCCTAGCTACTCAGGAGGTGGAGGCTACAGTGAACTGTGATCATGCAACTGCCCTCCAGCCTGGGTGACAGAGGGAGAATCTGTCTTAAAAAAAAATAAGAAAAAAAAAGATTAGTAAATAAAAAGTTTTTCTCACAAAGTGAGAATTCATTGCCAAGAGCTATGCACTATAAAATATTAAAGAAAATGCTTCAAGAAGAAAGAGTGTGACACCAGATGAAATTCTAGATCTATATAGAAATGGGAAGATCAACAGGATTTACAAAAACGAATGCAAAAGTGTAAGAAAATTTCTTAGTTTATACATGCCAAAACTCATTATAAGATTTACTTGTGTCATTTATTGTTGGCCAATTATACTCTAAATAAAGCAGTTTACAAGTGAAAGATAATATCGACTCTGTTCACAAATAGAACAATGTATTGGGTTTATAACACATATAGGAGTGAAAATTAAGACAACAATAACAAAAAATGGGAGGAAAGAAATGGACATGGTTATAAGTTTCTTACACTATAATTAAAATGCACTAATACTGTTTGAAAGTAGAGTGTGGTAAGTTAAAGTATATTATATTATTACTACTTTACACTCTCAGAATATTAAATATTAAAGGAGGCTGAGAATAACAACCAGTTTTTGCTAAGGGAGTGGAGCTATTGGACTTCCTATATATGATAGGTACCAATGTAAATTTTTTAAGCATTTTGGAAATTTCTTACAGAGGTAAACATACACATAACATACCATTTCACCATGTTACTTCTGAGTATTCACTTAAGTGAAATGAAATTATATGTCCCCAATGGACTATTATGCAAATATTCCTAGAAACTTTACTGATAAGAGTAAAATCTAGAAACCAAATATCATCAACAGGTGAGAAGATTAACATACTATGGTATAGTCATGCAATGTTGTGCCTCTTCTTACTAAATATTAATAAACAACTGTTACACTTATCAATGAATTCAACAAAAGAAACCAGGCACAAGAGAGTACATACTATATTATTTCATTTATGTTAAGATCTAAATAGGCAAAAAGATGATATGGTGATAAAAATCCAATTAGTAATTCACTGCGAATTTAGAAGTGCAAAGGCCATATGGGAAATTTCAGGTGTGATAGATATGTTCTGTAAATTAATTGGATTGATGGTTGCATGGGGGACATGTATTTGTCAAATCTTATTGAATTTTGGACATTTTATTGTTTTTAATTTATACCTCAATAAAATGTATTAACAAAAGAAAAATAATTTAAAATAAAACCAAACACTAAAATTCAAGTATGTGTTTTTCCAAAGAAAACATATAAAACTACCTGACATAAAATGGTTAAGATAAAAAGATAGGAAAATAGCAAAAGGATAAAGAGAGTAGGGAAATGTAACAGTAAAAATAAAATTTAATGCAATATTTAGTAAATGGTCTACAGAAATCACTTTTAAGTTAATTTATTGTGGTAATATACATAACAAAATTTATCATTCTACCCATTTTTAAGTGTTCAGTTCAGAGGAATTAACTATTATTCACATTGTTGTGCAGCCATTACCACTAATAATCTGCAAAACTTTTTTTACCCCATATTAAAACTACCAAATAAGCAATAACTCCCCAATCTCCTCTCCCCCTGGCCCTTCGTAACCAGGGGTTACTTTCCATCTCTATGAATTTTATTACACTAGATACATCATATAGTGGAATCAAAGAGTATTTGTCTTTTTGTATCTGGCTTATTTTACAGACTATAATGTCTTAAAGCATGTATCAGAATTTCACCCTTTTTTAATGCTGAATAATATTCCATTGTAGTTATATACTACATTTTGTTCATCCATTCAAATGCTGCTAGATTTATGAGTTGTTTTTATTTTTTGGTTATGAAAAATGCTGATACTGATAAAAATGCTGAATACTGATAAAAATAGTATCCAGATATTTCAAGTTCCTCCTTTCAATTATTTTGGGTATATCCTCAGAAGTGGAATTGCTGGATCAAATGGTAATTCCATGTTTAATTTTTTGAGGAGCCACCATACTATTTTCCATAACAGTAGTACTATTTTAAATTCCCATCAGCAATGCAAAAGGATTCCAATTTCTCTACATCCATGTCAACACTTGGTTTTTGTTTATTGTTTCTTTTTTGTTACTAGCCATCCTAACGGAAATAAGGTGGTATGTCATTGTGGTTTTGACTTGCAATTCCTTAATTATTAGTGATATTAAGTTGATATTAAGTATCTATTTTTATACACTTATTGGCCATTTATCTTCTTTGAAAATATGTCTATGCAAGTTCTTTGCATAGTTCAAATAATCATTTTTAAATTGTTTTATTTTCACTGAAATTTAGGAGTTCTCTGTATGTTCTAGATCTTAATTCCTTATTAAATAGGTAATTTGCAAATATTTTCTCCCATTTTGTGGGTTACCTTTTTATTCTGTTGATAGTGTCCTTTCATGAACAAAAGTTTTAATTTGGATGAAGTCCAATTTGTCTATTTTTTCTTTTGTTGCCTATGCTTTTGGTGACATACCCAAGAAATCATTGCTACACCCAGTGTCATAAAGGTTTTCCTTTTCATTTTCTCTTAAGATTTTTAGATTTTTAGCTCATGCATTTAGATCTGTGATTCATTTTGAGTTAATATTTGTATATGTTGTAAAGTACAGATCCAATTTCCTTCATTTGCATGTGGTTATCTAATTTTCCCAGCACCATTTGTTGGGACAAAAAAACCCAAAACTTTCCTTTCTCCATTGAAAGTCTTGATACCCTTCTCAAAAATAATTTGACCATATATATGAGGGTTTATTACTGGGCTCTCTATTATAGTACTTCATATGCCTGTCTTTATTCTAGCACCACACTGTTTTGATTACTGTACCTTTGTAATAAGTTTTGAAATTTAAAAAAATGAGATCCGCAAATTTGTTCTTCTCCAGGATTGTTTTGGCTATTTAAAGTTTGTTGAGATGCTATATAAATTTTAAGATGGACTTTTCTAATGCTGCATAAAAAGTTATTGGGATTTCAACAGGGATTGCATTCAATCTATAGATTGATTTGGGTAGTATTGATATCTTAACAATATTAAATCTTTCCATTCGTGAACGGGGGTGGCTTTCCACTTATGTATGTATTCCTTAATTACTTTCAGCAATATTTCATAGCTTTCAGTATATAATTCTTTCATCTACTTGATTAATTTAATTCCTAAGTATTTTATTCTTTTTGATGCTATTTTAAGTGAAAATGTTTTAATTCCATTTTTTGATTGTTCATTGGATATTATAATAAAAACATTTATAATGAGTTCCAACTTGTGAAAATTTATAGTGATGAATTAAACACACAGAAATTGAAAAAAATCAAAAGAAAACACTAATACTGGGAGAATGTACCTCATCTTCCTTAGTATTTGACAGATAAAATTGAAAACAGATAGACAAAAAAGAGAAAGAATCATCACAATACAGAGAAATTGACTGTCAAACTATGGCCAGTGGATCAAATCTGGCCCCCGTCTATTTTTGTAAATAAATTTTCGGTTATGTATACTCAAACTCATTTGTTTACAGATTTGAACAGTTGTAACAGATATCACATCAAAACCTAAAATGCTTACTATCTACTATTCTCCTTTATAGAAAAGATTTGCCAGCTCTTGATAGGGAGAATCAAATTATTGTTCTATACAGACAGTAGCTTGAAGAAATATAAAGCTCACTCATCTCACACCCAGGAAGTCTTATTTTTGGCTGTCCAAATCCCATCAAGTAGCAGTTACTGTCAGCACCAGGACTCCAACTCAGTCACAGTTTCTGCTCACTTCTCAGAAATGGTTCACATGACCACTCCAAGATACAACGGAGTCTGTGACGTGACACATCCCGAGCTGCACTCAAAACTACGAACAGTTTTTATGTACTGTACATAAGGAAAAAAGGAAGAAAGGATACATTTGAGACAACCTACAATATTTTCATATCACATTGCACTCCTCAGATGCATATGGAGTATTAAAATAATTATAGAATGAAAATAAAATCTCAAAAATCAAAATGTACAAGATGTTTTTCTTGATGCTAGTGACATAAAATAGGAAGAAATAACACTTCCCCAAGTAAAGACAGTTAAAAATATTTCTAAATAATTGAAGCTAATCTTTTTAAGTAAAACTTGGATCAGAAAGGATGAAAGCATTGAATTTCATGGCCAGCTAAGGGAAAACAAAATTATAATAACAATTTCAAACATGATGTTTAATTTATAATCAGAAGGAAAAGCTTTAAATGCCTTATTATTATACAAAGACTATACAATAAAACAGACTGTTAAATAAAACATTGAGTCTGTCTAATCAAATAAACTCATAAATGTTTACAGAATGATCAT
This sequence comes from Homo sapiens, assembly GCF_000001405.40. Classification (NCBI taxonomy): domain Eukaryota; kingdom Metazoa; phylum Chordata; class Mammalia; order Primates; family Hominidae; genus Homo; species Homo sapiens. Next base: position 120,110,669 of record NC_000006.12, on the reverse strand, counting down.
AGGAAAACAGAAAAATATAGATAAATATAAAAACACTCATTTAGAAAACATAAAAACAATTACACTTGGAGCTTAGTAGTTTTGTTGTTGTTGCTTTCTCATGTTGGCAATGAACACTTCGGTTGATTTTTCATCCAGTGTACACCAGCACAATCTACCAATTGTTAATGGCCAGCATCTGCTCTGATTTGTATGGTGGTTATTTGAATATTGTATTACCGATGTGCATACCCAAATGCTAATAAAGTTTAACGTGAGACACTTATTGTTAACATAAAGGTGACCTAATTGTCAAATATAATTGAAGTGAATACAGTTGAACTGGAAATATTTAAGCTGATTTTCTTCCCTTCACATGTGTGTTTGAACTATAATCTTCAGGAAGCTTCATGTCTAAGGGTTTATTCTTTAATTTAAGGATTGCTTTAAAAGACTGCCTTATTTCCTGCATTCTTGCCTCATTCCCTGTCTTCTTTCTTCCCTTTCTTCCTTCTTCTATGCTTTCCTTCTTTCCTTTTTTTTTTTTCCTGTGGCATTCATGATACACTCTTGTCTCTTCCATTTGGAATATAAAATCTATACTTCTTATGTTTTTGGTACATGCATGCTAGACATTGAGATGTTATAAATTAACTGTAAATATTATTGAGATTGTCAATATTTCTGGGAAAAAAATGTATTGGGATAATGCTGCATATCATATTCTGTCAGAAAAGATCTATACTTAAAGGCAAAGATTGGGGGATGTTAGTTTTCCTAAGTAGGGAGGGTAGAATTGGGAAGGGGTAGTAAAATGATAGGTTGCTCTTTACATAAATAAAAAGGTTTTTTATTTAAAAAAAAAAAAAGTCTTTTCTCTCTGATTTAGGCTTGACCAAAGCTAACGCCAGACTTCTATGCTAAAAGCAATATGAGGTATATGTTAATTAGTTTGAGCATCATAACATCAATAAACAATTAATATTCTGTAACCCAATTAGCCTCTGCTTCCTCTAAGTTAAAGAGAGGTCACAGAGGGAAAAAATAATTTTATAAAAATCTAATATAACTAATCAGGAAGGATGGAGAAACAAAAGTACAAAACATTAAAAACAAAAGCTATTGTTGCAGTTATGAAAAGATATCATGGAACAATAATTATGAAAGAATACTAAGTGAGGCTCCGTGCTCATGCATTTGAAAACCTCCATAAAGTGGATCATTTGCTAGGAAAACATAAAAAATGAAATTATTCTCATAAAGGAGAAAAACCAATAATGTATAAAATTGGGGGAAACGTTGGAGAAATATACTTCAAAACAAAGATTCTCATCCATATCAATTTATGACTCAGATCTTCCAAAGTTACTGAAAAATAATTTTATTAAAAGTGTAATCCATGCCTTACAATGTATATTTTAATATATTTCATATAGGTTTTGATCATTCCTTGTTAATAGATTTTGTTGTCAATGTTAATAGGGGAGATGTTGGTTAAGGGGTACAAAGTTTCAGTTAGGAGGAATGGTTTTGAGATTTATTGCACAGCCTGGTGACTATAGTTAATAATAATGTATATCTTAAAATTGCTATGAGAGTAATTTCAAGTGTGTTTATCACAAAATTGACAACTATATGAGATGAGTTATATGTTAGTTTGATTTATGCATTCCACACTGAATATATATATAACATCTCATTGTACCCCATAAATATTTGAAACTACAGTTTGTCAATTGAAAATATATGTTAAAAAATGTTAGTAGGATTTTGTTTTCCCACTGTTATTACAAATCGTTTACTGTTTTCTCTAAAGCTATAGGCTAACTGGTCACATTATTGAACTGTTATCAATTTTTATATAAGTACATGTTTAGCTGCAAATAAGCAAACATTCAACCAAACAAACAAGCAAAAATTTAGCTCACCTAATTAAACACACTAGGCCTAATCAGGTGTTCTGAAATGAGGCTTGATTCAGGGCTTAAAAAGGATTTAAGATCAGGATGTAGCTCTTGATTTTTCTCCTTGATTTGGCTTGGCTCCATTTTCAGACATGGTTTACGCTTGTGGTCACATGAGGCTGTTAGTAGCACCCAAGGCTATATTCTCTCAAGATCCTATTTAGCAGTTAAGAGAGAATCTGCATCCAGGCATTGCCAGTCCAAGTCCTAAGATTAAAACTGATTAGAGCAATTTAAATCACTTGCCTATCTTTGAAACCACCATGGCCAAGAGTACAGATTACACCAATTAGTTTCAAGTCCTTGGAGCTTATTTTTGGTGTTTGATATAGTAGAGATAACTACAATTTCATCAGAAAATGAATGTGTGGGCCCCTATCCTGGAGTAGAGGCTTGCTAAGAAGTGGCTTCCCACTCATAACTATACTTCCCAGTTCCTTTTACACTTGGGAAACTAGATGGAGTCATGTGACCAATTCTCAGGAATGGCATGTGAGCAAACAGGTTGTTCAACCCACTCATCCTAAAGTGAACAAGAAACAAATGTTCTTCCTTCAATCTCCCTCTAACAATTTTGAGGCTGGAGGAATACTTCTAGAATCTTTGAGGTGGAATATGGGAGAGACAATATAGAAGGAGAGTATCTGACTATTGATAGACTTCTTAAAGTCAGATTATTCTTGCATTCTTTTAAAAAAGGCACAGTAATGATGTATATTAATATAATGCACTTAGCTTGCTGACAGTTTATTAGTTTCTGGCATATATATTTATTAGTAAAAGTATATCCTAGCTTGATTTTGTGGAATACAATAAACCCATAAAATACATTCAGTAGGTTTTGTTATTTTCTGTGCACTGGTCAAGTTAATTGTCAAAAAAAAAAGTGTAGGTCCTAGAAGGTTTCCGAGAATTTGTTTTACAATAATCTAAGCCTTGGTTATTATGTTTTATGTGGGACTAGAGGGGGAAAAAAGAAAATAGATCAATTTTTTTCTGTTATCCTATCATTTGTTAGTTCACATATCTCTGGAATTAGTTTTGTAAACATGTCTTTTGAAACGTTAATAATTATTAGATTGTTGAGGTTATTGGCGCATTGTATATATTATCTTTTAGTTATTTGAATCTGTCATTATGTCATTATTTCATTCCTAATGATTGTGTTTCTATTTACTTGATCAAAATTGAGACATTTCTCTTCTCTTCTGCTCTCCTTACTTCCTTTTTCCCCTTTGCCTTCTACTCCCTCCATTTCTCTCCTCTCTGTCTCTTTCTTTTCTTCTTTCTTCCTTCTTTTGTCTTTCCCATTCTTTCATTTCCTTGGTTTGGTATGTGGTAGAGAGGAGTTCTTCTTAAAAAATTAACAGTTAGTTTCAGTAATCCGGTCTATTAGGTTTTATCCAAGTAATTGTTTTATAATGCTCCTCAAGTAGTGCTATAATAATCTTTTGTATCCCCATTGTTCTGATTAGATTTATGGTACAGGCGATATCTAACAGTTTAAGAAATACTGTATTATAGTGGCTGAACACAGTGGTCAGCCTAGAAACTGACGTAGGAGAAAAACTATATGACCTTGAGTATGGCCATGATGTTTCATATACAACACCAAAGGTACAGTCCAGGAAAGAAATCATTAATAAGCTGCTTCATTAAAATTAAAAACTTCTACTCTGCAAAAGACAAGGTCAGGATAATGAGAAGACAAGCTACCATCTGGGAGAAAATATTTGCAAAGGCATATCTAAAAAAGAGTTGTTATCCAAACATACAAAGAACTGTTAAAAGTCAGTAATAAGAAAAACTGATTTAAAAATGTAAAAGACCTTCACAGGCACCTCACTAAAGAAGATATACAGATGGAAAATAAGCATATGAAAAGATGCTCCATATCATATGTTACTATGGTCTGAATGTTTCCGTCCCTCCAGAATACCTAGGTTTAATCTAATCCCCATTGTGGCAGTATTGAGAGGTAAAGCCTTTAGGATGTTATTAGGTCATGAGGGCTTTGTGGTCATAAATGAGATTAGTACCCTTATGAAAGAGGCTTTAAGGAGTCTTTCGTGCTTTCTGCATATGAAGATGCAGCAAGAGGAACCTCTATGAAGCAAAGTATGAGGCTTCACTAGATACTAAATCTGTCAACACCTTGATCTTGGACTTCCCAGCCTCCAGAACTGTGAATTATTTACAATTAAATAATTATTTACTTATAAGGTATTTTGTTATAGCAGCCAAAACAGACGAAGACACATATCATCAGGGAAATGCAAATTAGAACAATGAGATACTACTACATACCTATTAGAATGGTCAAAATGTCGAACAAAAGCAACACCAAATTCTGGCATGGATGTGAAATAACAGGAACTGTCATTTACTATTGATGGGAATGCAAAATGGTACAACCACTTTGGAAGACAGTTTGGCAGTTTTGTGCAAAACTAAACGTACCATACAATTCAGCAGTCACACTCATGGAATTTACCCAAGAGTTGAAAACTTAAATCCACGCAAAAGCCTGTACATGGATGTTTATAGCAACTTTATTTATAGCTGATAAAACTTGGAAGCAACCAAGATGCCCTTCAGTGGGTGAATGAATAAATATACTGTGGTAAATCCAGACAACAGAATATTCCTCAAGGCTAAAAGGAAATGAGCCACCAAGCCACGAAAAATCTTGGAAAGACATGAAATGCATATCACTAAGTGAAAGTAGCCAATCAGAAAAGGCTACATATTTTATGATTCCAACTATATAACATTCCAGAAAAGGTAAAATTATGGAGCAGGTAAAAAAAAAAAAGTGTTTGCCAGGAGTTGGGGGAGGCATGAATTGGCAAAGCAAGCAGATTTTAAGGCAGTAAAAAAGTTTTTATGATATTATTCATTATATATTTGTCAAAAACCATAGAATGTACAACACTGAGAATGAACTGTAATGTGAGCAATGGACTTACTTTTGGTATTAATGATGTGTCTGTCATTGTAGGTACATCAGCTATATCAGGTGTATCACTCTGATGGAGGATGTTGATAATGGGGGAGGCTAAAACATGTTGCATATATGGCGGCAGAGTTATATGGGAAATCTCCATAATTTTGCTTCGAAATGAAAACTACTCTAAAAATTGTCTTAAAAAACACATTTTTCACAAAGCGAAACAAAGCAAATAACTTACAGTAAGAAGTAAGGCTGTTTGGGATTCAATTTTAGCACAACAGCTTATTAGGAACCTTAAGAAAGTTAACCACTCTTGTTTCAAATGTATTTTTAAATATACTTATATAGTTTAGACATACAAACAGACATATAGAATACTCGTTTATCCACCACAGAGCTTAAGAAATAAACACTGCAATTATTCCTTCATAATTTACTATATTTTATACATTTCTAAAATATGTATTATAATTTTCTATGTTTCTACATTATACAGGTTTAATATCACTTTGTGTATATTCTTTTAAAACTTTCTTTTATATCTTAATATATTAGTTCATTCTTTTTCCACTTTTTATATTTTATATATTTTATATTTTATAATTATGCCACAATTGACTTTTTCATTTTGTTCTTAATATTGAGATAATTTTCAATTTTGTATTATTACAATGATGATATGAAGATTATTTTATATATCATATGGTGCACATACACAAGACATTCATTAAAGTACACTTCTAGGAGCTGAATTCAAAATACTCCTAGGATGTGCACATTCAGTTTTACGTGATAATATCAAATGGGGTTTTCAAAACAGTTTGTAGCCATTTTCTTTCTCATTTGCAACCTATGAATATTATCATTGATCAAAACACCTGACATTATGTCCTTCTGAACTCCTGTACAATAAGACTTAAAATAATTTCCAGTCTAATGGGACTAAATATTTCATTGTGGCTTAAATATGTGTTTGTCTAATTATTAAGAAGATTGAGCATATTTATACACATTTGCCAGTTGTTTGCTCTTTAGCAAAATACCTGTTCATATATTTGGTTTATTTTTATATTAAATAGCTTTAAATGTTTGATTTATGTCTTCATAAAGTATAAATTATATTTTCAAACATAATCATTGTTATTCCTTGTTCTTGAATTATTTTGCTACTGTATGGTAACATTATATAAATCATTTTTAATTTTAATGTACTATAGTTACAATAGGCATTTGCTTTATAATTTGCCCTACTTTATTGTTTAATAAATATTTATTTACCCCAAGCCATAAAGATAGTTTTTATATTATCTTCTAAATATTTGTTTTATTTTTTACATTTAATTCTTAATGTACCTGGAGTAGGTTTTAATATATGATTTCAAGAAATAAAATTATATTTTCTTTTATATGAATAATAGTTTCAATATAATTTATGTAATTAATTCTTTCAGAATTGATCTGCAGTTCCAATTTATATGTGTATTTGTGTTTTGTGATATTTTGTTCCACTGTTTTATTTATCTACCCTTAGCACTAACTTAATTTTTCAATATAGACAATAGTTAAGAGCAACCAAGTATTGTGGATTGAATTGTTGGCTCTGCACTGTCAGCAGTGTGACTGTAGACATGGTACTTAATATCTACAAAAGGTAATTTGAATATTTAACAAGACCAAATTTGTTTATATATGCAAAAAAATGTAGAAAATTGCATTGCATAGTATGGGTATGTGACTAAATATTATAATAGTAATAAATTGATAATGCATAGGACATATATATATACCTATATTGATACTCTTCTAAGGGAAAATTTCAACTATTCTTGACCCTTTTATTCTTATAAGTTTTAGAATGTCTCTTTTAAAAACTCAATAAATATATTTCTGTAGACAAAAAAAATAAGAAATGTGATATTCTCACTTAGTCTTTAACATGATGCAATATTTTGCAACTAGAGCCCAGAATACCCTGTTCTGCTAAAATGATATGAGACAATATTTTTTTTATCTGTGATGAAGTTTGTGTGCCCAAATTTACTTGATACTGTTAGTGGACTAATTCCAAGGCACATGAGTGCACAAAGATGATAATATAATGTGAAAATGAAGATATTTATTGTATTAATCAATATAATTGGTCTTAGATACCACAGAGACAGAGAATCCACTATGAGATGGGCCTTGACCAGTTTTCTTTTTATTACCTAGACCTATATGCCAGTGTTCTACCAAGGAGGCTACGATAATGCTTCACACCTCCAGGATTCAATGTCAACTATGTCCCTATGTCAAAAAGTACCCAAAATAATTAGGTATCTCCCTTTCCCCAGTGTATGGTTACCCAGGTAGTAGGATGTAAATCTGTTTTGGGAAAGATGACACCTTAGAGTCCTTCTTCCTAGATATCCGAATCCTGTTGAGACACTGGGGTCAGGGATTGGAAATTAGTCAAAGGCTCATGATTCTTATATTTATCATTATTATTAATATAGATGGGGGGGTCTCATTATGTTGCCCAGGCTGGCCTTGAACTCGGCCTAAGGAATTTTCCCACCTCAGCCTCCCAAGTAGCATAACTTTGTATTGTGCCGACTGCCTTCAGCCTCTGGATCATCCACCTTTCATTTCTTATCATTGTAAATGTTCAGTGATTCCCTTGTTGGTTGCCTATCTGTTTTGCCCATAGAAACACTTTATTCAATTAACCATCTCCAGAATTATCTGAGGCCCTTTGGCTGCCACTCTGAATTCACCACACAATAAAATCACATCCATCTGGTGTTGGACAGTCACTACTTCTTATTGCTTTGGGGTTCCATCATCCTTGTCAGTGCTCATAGATCAACAATGGCCTTTCCACTGTCCACTCTGATCTACAGAGCAGACCTGGATTCTGGTGCTTCTCACCAATGTATTCCTTATGGCCTTGGTAACTGGCATATCCCCAGGTCCTTCCTTTGGAATACTTCATAATAGACATAGTATATCCATTCCTGCTCACTTTACAGAGCCTTTTAATCCCTTCCTTCAAAGTCATCTTCAGCAGTGACGGCATTTTGACATCACTTACCACGGATCATTGCTTTTTCTATTCTTCTAGGAACCATTCTCATGGCAAGGTCGTACCATCTCCTGAAAATCTTGTCAGCCATTACCTTTTAAATCTCAAGAGAGTGTTTCCAAATAACAAACTCTTCCTCATATCCTAGACTTACTGAGCAAGCAAGCTTGTTGCTTAAATTCTTGACATATTGTTTAACATTTTTGCATGCATGTGAAATAGATCTTGGTGTATAATTTTCCCCACTGGTAAGACCCTTGCCAGGTTTTGTTTTGTTTTGTTTCTTTTTTTCTTTTTTTTTTTGAGATGGGAGTCTCGCTGTGTCGCTCAGGCTGGAGTGCAGTGACGCGATCTCGGCTCACTGCAAGCTCTGCCTCCCGGGTTCATGCCATTCTCCTGCCTCAGCCTTCCGAGTAGCTGGGACTACAGGCGCCCGCCACCACGCCCGGTAATGTTTTTGTATTTTTAGTAGAGATGGGGTTTCACCGTGTTAGCCAGGATGGTCTCGATCTCCTGACCTCGTGATCCGCCTGCCTCGGCCTCTCAAAGGGCTGGGATTACAGGCTTGAGCCACCGCGCCCGGCCTACCCTTGCCAGGTTTTGAGACCAAAATAATCCTGAAAGTTGAGTAATGAGTCTTATTTTTCAACTCTCTAAAATACTTTATATATTTATATCAATTTTCCTAAAATATTTGTAAGATATAAAAGCAAAAGCCACCTTGACCTGGAGTTATCTTGGTGGGAAGGGTTTAAATCACAAATTAAATTTCTTTAACTGCCATTGGAATATTTAGATTGTGTTTTTCTTTTCGTGTAGTTTCCATACATTATGTTTTGCAAGAATTGTGCCCATTTAATCTAACCAAATTTATTGGTATAAATAGATCATAATATTTTTCTGTATTTTCTTTCTAATCTCTATAATATCTGTACTGGTATTACATTTTTATCCTGAAACCAGTTATTTGTATATTCTTTTTTTAGGCTTTCAGTTATTTATTGATTTTGTTAATCCTTTAAAGGATTAAATTTTAGCTTGTTTTCTCTGTTGTCCATTTGTTTATTTCATTGATTTCTGTTTTTATCTTTACTCTTCACTTCCATCTACTTTCTTCATATTTTATGCTTTCCTTTTGTTCTAGCATCTTGATAATTATCAGCTTGATAATTAGTGAACCAATTAGTGAGAGATCACTAATTTTCAGCTTTTCTTATTTTTTAATATAGAAACTTAAGGCTAAGTAAAGCTAAGCACTGTTTTAGCAACATTCTACAAGTTTGGATATATTTTCCATATCCTAAAGTAAATAATATTTTCTGATTCCCATTGTTGTTTTTCCTTTGAGCCATGTACTGTTGAGAATTGTACTGCTTCATTTCCAAGTAGTTTGAAATTTTCTAGTTTTCTTTTGGTTATTGATTTTTAAAATATTTCCTCTCTAAATTGAGAACAGACTTTTTATAATTTCAATGCTTTGAAATTTGTTGTGACTTCCATTAGAACCCAAAATCTTATCTCTACCCATACCCCTACTCTTGCAGGAGTCTATATATGTTCATATGGTCAAATTTGTTATAATTTGTTTCTTAGACTTTCTATAATTTTTGCTTCTGCTTCTTTTATTATTATAACATGTGGGAATACATTCTTAATACAATACTTGCACTGGACTTGCTCTTTTGTTTTCTATAATAGTCTGTCAAACATCCTAAGTGAATACTATTTCCAACTTTTGAAACATGTAAATAATCCATTTTTTTCAGCCACTCTTTTTATAGTGTTTAATACTCTGAATTTTATTATAAGCACTGCTTTGGAGGCACTCATCATATGCTGTTGTGCCATATTTGTATTGTTATTCAGCAGGATTCATTTTCTAATTTCCATTGTGCATTCTACTTTGACCTACAGGTTGTTTATAATTATACTGGGTAATGTGCAAATACTTTTGGGTTTTCTAGTTGTCATACTGTTATTTATTTTTAGCTTTTAGTATATTCAGACATCATACACTATATTATTTAAATGCTTTGGGATTTAATCTTGCTTATGTGGCAAGCATATGATTAATTTTTATAAATATTAAATGTGTGCTTGTAAAGAATTGAATTCAGTGAGTGGAGATACCCATATCTATATATGAACCTATATCTATCTATACCTATATATATGTATACATGTCTGTTCTGTATGGAAAATGTGCGAGGGGAGAAGAAAAGACACACACAAAATACCTTAGGGGTAAACAATCTTTATCCCATGCAAATGGCAATGCAGATATAATAAGCAAATGATATAACAATAAGAAAATGATATAATAAACAGATTGATACAATAAGCAAATTGCAATGGGAAGGGGAGAAGGGAAAAGATACTTAACACTCACCAGACTATGGAGGATTCACCACCAGACTGGGAAGCAAGAGCCTGGGCTCCAGAGTTGGCCACCCATCCGTGCACAGATGAGGAAAGGTCTCATGAAGCTTCAGCGCAGTCTGGGACCCTAGCTCTTTTTGTAACAAGTTGTTTGGCATGAGGCCCAGTCACGAGGTCTGTTCACGACTGGGCTCAAGGAACACAAAAAGGTCAACTTGTTTTTGTAAGTGTCTATTGTTTTTCAATAACTAATGTATAGGAATAGATTGAAATAGAGATTTCTCCAAAACGGCACTGGATGAACACCTCAAGGGGCTCACACAACCTGTTCTGGGACTTGGTGACCATTGTTTGTGTCCACGTTCAATTGAGTTCAATTTTAATATTTAACTTTTCCTCCGCAATGTCTATGCATGTATACATATGCACAGAAAGCAAATGCATGCACAGAAACCAAATTCTCTTGGTCTCTGAAAAAATCTACATAATCTATATGTATGTTTATGAACAGTGATATCTATCTATATCTACCTACCTCTACACGTATCTACTGATTATTCTAGATATACATACAAAATATGTATCTATATTTTTTCATTGGAGTAGTCTCTTTACATTTACTAAATCTATACATACATATACATAAGCATTCATATACATACATATTTGAATTTGTTAATCACCATAGTCAAAATATTTATTTTTTTGTTTTTTGGGGGGTAGTCTGTGTTCTTGCTTTTTATTTGTCCTTTACTTTGAGCTAGTAAGACAGTAGTTTAAATTCTTCTACCATGAATGTGGAATTGCTATTTCTTCTTTAATATTTGATATGTTTTTATTCATCTCTTCTGAATCTATGTTACACCTTCCTAGTGGATTCCTATGAGATGTCTATTATGAAATGTGTAATAGTCCATTTTACTAAATATGGACTTGGATATTAATATGGATAGTGACTTTCATGTTCTATTGGTTAGTGTTTTTATGGTATACTTTTTGTATCCTTTTATTTTCAGTATTTCTCTATCCTATTTAAGTTGTGTTGCTTACTGTTAATATAATCAGTATATGGATGAATTATATTTCATCCATTCCAACTATCTTTTTTTTTTTTTTTTTTTTTTTTTTTTGGAGGCAGTGTCTCACTCTGATGGCCAGGCTGGAGTGCAGTGGCACGATCTCAGCTCATTGCAACCTCCGTCTCCTAGGCTCAAGCAATTATCCTGCCTCAGCCTCCCAAGTAGCTGGAATTACAGGCATATGCCACCATGCCTGGTCTCAAAATAATTTTTGTATTTTGAGACAGGGTTTCACCACGTTGACCAGGCTGGCCTCGAACTCCTGACCTCAGGTAATCCACCCACCTTGGGCTCCCAAAGTGTTGGGATTACAGGTGTGAGCCACCGTGCCTGGACCCAACTATCATTTTTTAATAAGATGACTTGGTTTCTGTATATATTCAAATTTTTAAAATATAATATTTGTTTTCAATTTTATCATTTACTATTTATATTTGCCCCTTTTTTCTATTCCTTTAATCTATTCATTCATTCATTCATTCACTTAGCCTTGTTCCCTTTCTTGTTTGCTTTTAGATTAAGCAAGTACTTTTTCATATTCTCTCTTTTCTCCATGTTAATTTTCTATTTAAAAATTTCCTTTTATTATTTTAAGGGTTATCATAGTGATTATATTATGTATGTTCAATGTATCACAATCTAATACAAATGATCACTTTTACCATTTTTCTGTAAATACCAGATCTTAGATCACTGTAACTGCATTTACTATTCTATGCCATTTTGGTTATTTTGACATTTAATTTTATGTTTATTTTAAACTCCAAAAATATTATTTATAATATTAATTTTAATCAATAAGTATTAATGTATATTTATTAATCTGTTTTACTATTTTGTTTTTTATAGTTTTCAAATGCATTTCCCCATGCAATGCAGAACACAAATTTATCTGGACAATATTTATCTGTATCTCTATTAATGGGAGTATGCTTGTGAAAAATTCTCTTGGTTCCTGTTTGTTTGAAAAAAATCTTTTGGTTTATTTTTACAGGACAATTCTATTGCATATAGAATTATACCTTGCCAGTTACTTTCTGTTTGCACTTTCAGTACCAACTGAATAGTATTTGACCATAAAAAGGAACCTTTGATACATGCCACAACATGGCCGAACTTTGGAAACATTATTCTAAGTGAAAGAAACTACACATAAAAGGCCATATATTGTATGATTCTGTCCTATAAAATATCCCTAATAGGCAAATCCATAGACACAGAAAGCAGATAAGTGTTTGCCAGGGTGTAGGAAAATAAGAAGTGACTGCTTAATGGGTAGAGAGTTTCCTTTTGGGTTGATAAAAATGTTCTGGAGCTAAATAGTGGTGGTAGCTGTGAATGTACTAAATACCACTGAATTGTACACTTTAAAATGGTTAAAACGATGAATTTTATATGTATTTTATCACAATAAAAACAAAAAATATCAAAGATTTTTTACTTTTTCTGTTAAAATTGTAGCTATCAAACTATTATTGCATCTTTAAAATTAATATTACATTTTCTTTGCTGTTTATAAAATTTTATATTTGGTTTACAAAATCTTACCCTTGCTTGTCCAGATGTGGGTTTCACTGGACTTGTTTTAGGTTTGCAAAACTTTCTAATTTTGTGGCTTCATAATATTTTAACTCTTGGGAATTCATTGGTTAGTAATTTCTCAAATACAGCTTCTGCCATATAGTCTTTCTCTGCCTCATCTGTAGTTCTAATTATACATATTTTGAATATTTTCCCCATGTCTTTAGAATTCATATATTTTTTAATCACTTTTTGCTTTAGTCCATATTTTCAAGTCCCACCTCTTCTCTGCTGTGTCTAATCTGGTAATATTAATACTATATTTTGAATGATTAACATAAAGTATTCTGTATTTCAGTTTCAGAATTTGTATTTTTTATAGATACAGATTTAAGCTTCTGGTGAAATTCTCCAACTTGCCATCTATTCTCTAGAACATAATTTACAAAATTACTTATAATTTTATGTTGAATCGCTTTAGGATCAGAATCACATATGGGTTTGTGTCTCTTGTCTTTTTGTCTTCATTTATAGGTATTTATTTCTGTCTTGATTTTTTTTTCATGCTGGCTATTACATATAAAGTAAGGCAGATGACCTACATGTGATTCTCCTTCAGAAACAATTCATTTGTTTTGCCAGGCAGTTAGAATAGGAGCAATTCTTCTTGTTTCAATCAGAGACTGAAGTTATCAGGCCACGTATCCATCTCTGTGAGGGCTGATCTATTTATAATATACATTACTCATTGAATATCTCAACTGAAAGCCTTTCTGGGATCTCAACTGCAAGCCAAGTGTTTATACTAGGCCTCTCTCTTGGTGATCCCTAAGTGATATTTTTGTGTGTGTCTCCAGCTCAATAAAACTGACTAACTGCTTAGTCTTTTATCCTCTTGTTACAACCTTCAGCAAGTGCTTTGAGAGAGGCAGAGCACTGTAGAATGTCAGCTCTCTTCTCTCAAGTTTCCTTTTTCCCAGTGCTTTTGTCAATTGTTGCCTGCCTAAGAAGTGCTACCTTCCAATGTTTGTCTCTCTAGGACAGTGAGACAGTGAGGCTAGTGGAAGCTGAGGTGCCTCTTTTGGCTCAGTCAGTTGGAGCAGCACCATATTGTAATTAGTGAATACATCAAAGTTGAAAAGTGGCAGAAAATGTTATTTTCTCTACCATGCATTTTCCTTTGAGATTCTTTGTACTCAAATCCTGCTACCTTGTATGTTCTCTGGTACTTTCAGACAACTGGGGTTTAGTCTCATACAAGCTGTTTCATGGTAGCCAAAAGTGGCTTTTTTTTTTTTTTTTTTTGTCGCCCAGGCTGGAGTGCAGTGGCGCGATCTCGGCTCACTGAAAGCTCCGCCTCCCGGGTTCACGCCATTCTCCTGCCTCAGCCTCCAGAGTATCTGGAACTACAGGCGCCCCACACCACGCCCGGCTAATTATTTTTTGTATTTTTAGTAGAGACGGGGTTTCACCGTTTTAGCCAGGATGGTCTCAATCTCCTGACCTCGTGATCCGTCCATCTCGGCCTCCCAAAGTGCTGGGATTACAGGCGTGAGCCACCGCGCCCGGCCAAAAGTGGCATTTTTAAGCTGGCTTTTTTAATATGGAAATTTTTTGAGCATCATGTTGAGGATATATTCTTTTTGAAAGGATTTGTGTTAGCTTCTGTCATGTGCCAAAACACAATTTTCAATTAATTTCTCAGCTTGGAATTACCCACACCAAGCAGGTGGTGTGAATTTGAAATCCAAATCCACAAAAAAAGCACTCCTTCTTCTCTTCAATAAAATTTTTAGTGGGCAATTCCATTAGAGCTATAGTTCTTCAAATATTCTGGTGTTATTTTATCTTCTCAGTTATTAATATCCACCTTACATTGGTCCAATGCCTATGTTAACATTAACATCCCAGGCTCTAGGTAACCAAAGACCATTAGGGTACACAGTTATGTCTTCAGTGGCCTCCTCCACCCTGCTGACCTTGTAGGGCTTTTGGTGTGCCAAGACTCATTCTAATATCCTTGTTGGTGGACTACTGAATTCCTTCAAATCTGAATTATATATCATTCTGAATTATGTGACAATTTTCTTTTTCTTTCTTTTTTCTTTTTTCCTTTTTTTTTTTTTTTTTTTGAGATAGAGTTTCGCCCTGTCACCAGGATGGAGTGCACTGGCACAATCTCTGCTCACCACAACCTCCGCCTCCTGGGTTCAAGCCATTCTCCTGTCTCAGCCGCCTGAGTAGCTGGAATTACAGGCATGTGCCACCATGCCCAGCTAATTTTTGCATTTTCAGTAGAGACAGGGTTTCACCATATTGGTGAGGCCAGTCTAGAGTTCCTGACCTCAGGTGATCCACCCGCTTCAGCCTCCCAAAGTGCTGGGATTAGAGGCGTGAGCCACCACACCCAACTCATTTCTGTTTTTCTTCTAGAATGTTTTCCTAAACTCAATATAATTTTCTGAGAAACACTCCAACCAGCTTTATGTACTTTCTACAGCAGTGATTCAGCCCACAATCAAAACACAAACACAAGTTTTGGGTTTGATAGTACAGAAATAACTAATACCATCAGCCTTCTATATGATTGTCCCAATCCATACATGAAATGTTTTCTTATCTTTTAGAACAAGAACCCAAATCCACTTTTTTTCTGACATAAGCATAATATTCCAGTTGGTTTCTCCAGATCCTAGTGGCAAAGAATCCATATCAGTGGTTCCAGAAATTTTAAATACTTGTTTCTGATAGCCAAACCTTCAATGACTCACTTCAGCCAGGGTAGCAGGGCAATGATTTTACTTATAAAAGCTTATTTGACAACTGCTTAATATCTTCATCTAGAAAGTACTCTTAACATCTTAAGAATTGAAGTGTTTATGAATGTGAATAAAATTGATCTATAGTTTGTAATTTCATGGGGAATATTTTTTGAAAATTGATTTTTCTCATTTTAGAGAAAGCATATGGTCCTGCCTAACTCTGTTTTTCTAGTAAGTCCCTAATAGTTTCTGATTCTGATCACAAAGCAGTCTCTGATGAATGGCTCTGACTTTGCAAGTGTGTTCCAAAGCCCATCAGGTTTGATTCGTTGAGTTGTTTACTTTTGTATAAAACTCTGGCTGCCATGAAAAAAAAGTGTGATATTTGCTGTTTTAAGAATTTTAGCAGTAGGTGCCACTAGTATTTTCACAGTACTCTGGAACAAAAAATTAAATGAAAAGCCATTTTTAAAATATTCCCTTTCACAAAGAACCAGAGAATTCCTGTCAGTATTCTCAGGAAAATGAACAACAATTCTATTTTTATTATTCCTTTTAAATATAGCACAACTCTTCCCCAAACATGATCTCTTTTGCAAGATCCCAAAGTCTTTCTTACATCCAAATGATACCCTCCCCCCATTAGCCTATCCTATGTTTTGGATAGAATTTATTCTCTTTAGAGAGTTTATTTGCAGGTTTCCATGGTAAATCAATCAAACATGTCTGGCCTCAGTTTCTTATTTTTACTCATATCTGTGATATTCTTTTTTTTTATACTTTAAGTTCTAGGGTACATGTGCACTACGTGCAGGTTTGTTACATAGGTATGCATGTGCCATGTTGGTTTGCTGCACCCATCAACTCGTCATTTACATTAGGTATTTCTCCTAATGCTATCTTCTTAAGAAAAAAAAAAAAAACAGAGACATATCAAGCTAAACCAAATGCTACTTTAGCTTGTTAGGAGGTACAATAAGCTCTAAAGAATCACCAAATGATCTATAATATAACATACAACACACACAACACACACATTCTGATTTTTAAATTCTGATCAAAAACTTATCTATTCAATACAATATTCTTGCATGTTGTAGATAACGCTTTAATTCCAAAATTAACTGCTAATGCTGTGCTTGAAAAATCTTTGAATTTTTATACTTCTTATGTTTTGCTAATCAGTGTCTTGCTTACAAAAGCCATTTTTTAAATAAAAGTATCACTGAGTGCTTACAAACATAAGTATACATTTAGAAGATAAAACTAATTAATTTCCCAAAATATTAGCATCTTCTCTATCATCCAGCTACACACTGAGAATACAAATTATTGTAATTCTTTCAACTAGATGTTCAAACACAGATTTTTTGATGACTAAAATCTGTTTTTTAGGTGCATATATTTTATTTTTCAGCGTAATTTTACTTCTTAGTTCAAAACAGCTTGAACACACTTACTATATGGATTCCCCTAATATGTTCACCTATCATGGAAGCCTGTCTATATACAGTAATTGGAAAGAGAGAGAAATTCATGCATTTGCCTTTTTTGCTACCCTTTTTATTTACTTTTTAAATTTCAACTTAATTTTAGATGCCAGGTGTATATATGCAGGTTTATTAGATGGGTGTATTGCAACCAGGTAGTGAGCGTAATGCCAAATAGGTAGTTTTTTTGACCCATCTGCTCTCTCTCTGCCTCCCACCCACTAGAAGTCCCAGTGTCCACTGTTCCCATGTTTATACCCATGGGTGCTCAATGTTTCATTCCCACTTGTAAGTGAGAGCATTTGATTTTCTGTTCCTGTGTTAATTTGCTTGGGATTATGGCCTCCAGTTCCATCCATGTCACTGCAAAGGACATGATTTTATTCTTTTTTTTATAGCCATGTAGTACTCCTTGGTGTATATTTTCTGTATCCATCCCACCACTGATCAACACTTAGGTTGATTCCATGTCTTTGCTATTATGAATAATGCTGTGATCATGTAAGACATGAGTGCATGTATCTTTTTGGCATAATGATCTATTTTCCTTTGGGTACATACCCAGTAATAGGATTGCTGTATTGAATGGCAGTTCTGTTTTAAGGTCTTTGAGAAATCTCCAAACCACTTTCCATAGTCGCTGAACTAATTTACATTCCCACCAACAGTGTATAAGCATTCCATTTTCTCTGCATCCTCACCAGCAACTGTTGCTTTTGGATGTTTTAATAATAACTATTCTGACTGGTGTGAGATGGTATCTCCTTGTGGTTGGTTTTGATTTGCATTTCTCTGATGACCAGTAATTATGAGCATTTTTTTGTCATATTTTTGTGGCCACTTGTATGTCTTCTTTTGAGAAGTGCCTGTTCATGCCCTTAGCCCATTTTTTAATGTGGTTATTTGTGTTTTGCTTGTTGATTTAAGTTTCTTACAGATTCTGGATATTAGACCTTTGTCAGATGCATAATTTTTGAATAAATGGTGCTGGAATAACTAGCCAGACCTATGCAGAAGAATAAAAATAGACCCTTACCTTTCACCACACACAAAAATTAACACAAGATAGATGATAGATTTAAATGTAAGATCTCAAACTATAAAAATCCAGAGGAATATCTAGGAAGTACCCTTCTTGATATTATTCTTGGCAAAGAATTTATGAGTAAGTCCTCAAAAGCAATTGCAACAAAAGCAAAAATTGACAAGAGGGCCCTAATTAAACTAAAGAACTTTTGCAAAGTAAAAGAAACTATCAACAGAGTAAACAGACAGCCTATAGAATGTTCCCCTTTTTATTGGGGATTTTGTACTTATACTTAAGCCAAAATATTTATCAATTAAAATTATTTTTCTTTGAAATATTCCTGATTTTATTTTAAACATCTATATAATGTAGTAGACTCATGCAGTTATTTCTTACACTTTTATTTCCAAAGATATACAACGTTTATCTAGTCTCACTCCAGTTACCCAGTAATAAAGCCAATATTTGACTATCTGACAACTGTTAGATTGATTTTGCCAGCTCCTTATTATAAAACAGTAAGTTGTAATTGGAGTGCTGTCTTTAAAGACAATGAAGAATGAGAGTTTATTACACCAAATAGAATACAGCAGTTTACCACATGCTAACAGTCCCAATGCCAACAACTAGAAAATTCCTAGGTAAATATATTTTAATAAGCATCAGAGGACTGAAAAATAACTTGGACCTGACAGTCCAAAATGCCAGAATGTGGAGCCCTTGAAGCATAGGCAGCTATTTCCTCTCTGAACCCTGGGAATGGTTTTTTTATAGATTCATGACAAGGAAGGATTTTGTAGGCATGGGGCACTTTTGCTTGAGTTCAAATTGAAGAACGTTCTGTTTCGTGATATGAATGCCCATTATATGTTTGTTTTCAGTTTTTGAAATGTTGAGCTCTACACTTATGTGTTCTCATTATTGTATGTATTTTATACCTCAGTTAAAAATGTAGAAACTAATTAGAATAGTATCAAAAACACAAACTAGAAAATTTTGTAATTTTATATCTGAGAACTCGCTGAGTTGAGAAACGGAATGAAACATCATTTAATGGTGTTTGTAAATAACATTTGATTAAGTATAACTGTGACATGATTTAAATGCATTCAGGAGTATCACCATTTAATTTTCTGTAATCGAATTTTTAAAAATACTGTTTGCACAGTGACAATTTCAACAATTTATGAAGATAGCTGCTTTGACCTCTTTAGATGTACAGATGAATCTAACATTGTAGCATGTTTAATGCAGCTGACCAGCGCCTCTCACTGTGTGACATTACAGAAGGAGTGACATACCCTATTCTCTCTGATTGTGCTCTAGGTTTAACACAGCTGTTATTTCCTGCTAGACAGATTTCCTATTTCTTAATAGCACATTGTGCCTTTCTTTCTAGAATTTTTACCTTATAATACGAGATTGCAAACAATAATATAAAGGCATTAAATTTATTTTCTTTGTATGCATTTGGAAAGAAATGTCAAATTATTTCAGACTATAATTACATAGAATAGATGGCATATAACAGAAAAAAAAAGTAAGAAGGAAACTCAGGAGTCACTTGAAGCCAAGAGAGTTTGAGGGATGCATAAAATACGTCTGGTTCACTTGACTTCTAAAAACTTCTTGGGATATAATAGGCACTCAGTAAAAACTTTTTGAGTTGAATAGATACGTTTTAAAAAATTCAGCATTTTTAACTAGACCTTTGAGTAAGTTAAACTTCACAAAAATGTAACATGTGTATTCCATGTCTCTGAGAGCATCTTGGCACACCCTTGTATTTCCTCAAATGCACATCCCACATTGAGAGACACAGACACAAATATGAAATCAGAAATATGTTAAGCCACAAGTTTTTTCATCACAGCATTCATTATATAATAGAAACTACCTA
Organism: Homo sapiens; assembly: GCF_000001405.40. Classification (NCBI taxonomy): domain Eukaryota; kingdom Metazoa; phylum Chordata; class Mammalia; order Primates; family Hominidae; genus Homo; species Homo sapiens. Next base: position 120,090,551 of record NC_000006.12, on the reverse strand, counting down.
TACATCAACAAATGGGAGTTAATTAAATCCATTTATTTCATCTCTCTCTCTATATATATATGTATACATATATAGATATACTATATTGAATACTATACCTGATATAAACAAGAGAATTTATTTCTGGGAAGTGAAAGCTTTTAACTTGTTATAAATTCATGTATTTATACTATCTAGAAATATTACGTTACAGTAGCTAAAAGCTTAGAGTTTTTATTACAGTTTAGCTAACACAAGTGAAACTCTTATTATTCTACCTGGCACAATGTAAGTGCCACATTAGTTTTGCTGTTTATTGTGTTTTGTATTTTTTGATGAACATGTATTGATACTGTTTTAGGTAAGCAGAATATCTTATTAACATAGAAGTTATTTTATGTAGGTTTTCAGTAATATACAAATGTTTTTGAAATCATGTTTATTAACAATGCATGTTAGAAAATTATGTTATTTTAACTACATATAGAATGTAGACTAGAGACTAAAAGAAAATAGAAAATGTTAATGTTTATCTTGTTTCTTAAAAATTAGACTTATTTACCTTTTTTCTCACTCGTTTCTGTGTTTTACCAAGAAATATCACAAGAATTAATTTAAATTTAAAAAATGGATACATTTGGGTAAATGTAAATACTGGAGCAGATTATGACTGGTATATGCTTAAAACAAGTATATGCATGACAGCAGCTCTTACATTTCATCATCTAGGGTCAAATTCTAGCTTTATCACTTTTTAAATATTTAATTCTTATGTGTTCATATTATCTTAAGGCTAAGGTGTCAAATTTTGAAAATGAGGAAACTATAAATGAATGATCTTCAACCCACTAAAAAAAAAAACTCTCCAATTGGGATAAGTAGGAGCAAAATATTTTTTGGTGATATAATGTATAACCTAAATTATTTTCTTCCTACCATCCCAATTTATAAAGCTCAAGTCCTATATCAATTCCTCTAGTTTTTTGAGAAATGCATCCTTTTCTCTTCAAAAGATCTAGGATATAGCCCAAGTTACCTCCCTCCCTTCAAACCCAGGGTAAGACTCTTCATAGATCCAGCCAGTGTAAACAGGCCAGTGATTCTCAATCGAGGCTATGAAGCAGCTGTCAACAAAGGTTTTATTGATTCAGAATAAGAGGAGGGATTATTCCTTTATGTGATTTCTAATAATTCGTGAAATCATTAAAAATCAATATTTAGTTGAGTCCATTTCTATGTCAAACATTATGTCTGTAAGGTCAATTGAAAATTAATTACCAATTTAACACCTGAAGTAAGATAAAGAAAATACTCATATTGAGAGATTGAAGCAAGAAGAGGTACACACCATAAAATCTTCAAACAGTCCTCTGAATAAGATAAATCAAGAGAAACCTGTCCAGAAAGCTGATATAAGACAGGGCCAGAACCCTAACTAGGAAGGAACCCTTTCATCTGATTCCTTCCATGAAATCCTATAAAGGCTGAGAACCACTTTATTTGTCACTGAAATGAAGCCAGAAACAATATGCAGGACATCCTACTTCTGCCACCTTGGTAGCACGCAGCATGTGTGGATTTGCCAAATAAGTAATTTCTACCTGGAAAGGATCATCCTTGTGGCTGACTAGCTATTATATTTGCAGTGTGTTTTCATCCTTCAGATTTTCCTGAAAAGGACCAGCTCATATGACCTGATTCTGAAAAATCGCAGGCGGCAGTGGGCCTGATGAGTAATTTACTGAAGTGTAAACTATTCCTATTGAAGGGGTCCATACAAGTAAGTGGATTATGGAGGTTACTTTTTCCTTTTCATTTGTTTCTGCTCTATTTGGTTTTGGATATTTCAACACATTTAATTTTTGGACATTTCTTCTTAGGAAAAAGCTGGAAAAGACAGACTAATAGATGAATAAAACTTAAAACCATTCATTGTCACATCTGTCAAAATACAAAAATAAACAAAATAGTTTGACAAGTTATAAAAACACATTTCTATTAAAGATTTTCTTTACCCACATGACTCTTCTTTCCCAATATTCTAGATAATTAAAATACTGATCTTTGCCTCTACTGCCATCATTTTTTTCCGTAATGTAAGAGAATGGCCTCTAAATGCATTTTATGTAGACAGACATAGATGCTCTCATAGGCTCAATTAAAGGAAGTAATAGAAATAGTAAAAGAACCAGGGAAAAGTGCCATGTTGTTTTTATTTAACCACAAGAATTTGGAGGAATGCTAATTTGTAAGGTTCTTACATAATTTATGTATGAAAGCATAAGTATATAAAATCACACTAAAATCAGTTTTATACTGAATAATTATAAAATATGTTAAATATTCTGATATTTTTAAAGAAAAGATATACATTAAAATTTTCTCCCATTCCGTAGGTTGCCTGTTCACTTTGATGGTAGTTTCTTTTGCTGTGCAGAAGCTCTTTAGTTTAATTAGATCTCATTTGTCAATTTTGGCTTTTGTTGCCATTGCTTTTGGTGTTTTAGACATGAAGTCCTTGCACATGCCTATGTCCTAAATGGTATTGCCTAGATTTTCTTCTAGGGCTTTTATGGTTTTAGGTCTAACATTTAAGTCTTTAATCCACCTTGAATTAATTTTTGTATAAGGTGTAAGGAAGGGATCCAGTTTCAGCTTTCTACATATGGCTAGCCAGTTTTCCCAGCACCATTTATTAAATAGGGAATCCTCTCCCCATTTCTTGTTTTTGTCAGGTTTGTCAAAAATAAGATAGTGGTAGATATGCAGCATTATTTCTGAGGCTCTGTTCTGTTCCATTGGTCTATATCTCTGTTTTGGTACCAGTACCATGCTGTTTTGGTTACTGTAGCCTTGTAGCATAGTTTGAAGTCAGGTAGCATGATGCCTCCAGCTTTGTTCTCTTGGCTTAGGATTGACTTGGCAATGCAGGCTCTTTTTTTGGTTCCATATGAACTTTAGTTTTTTCCAATTCTGTGAAGAGACACATTGGTAGCTTGATGGGGATGGCATTGAATCTATAAATTACTTGGGGCAGCATGGCCATTTTCACGATGTTGATTCTTCCTATCCATGAGCATGGAATGTTCTTCCATTTGTTTGCATCCTCTTTTATTTAATTGAGCAGTGGTTTGTAGTTCTCCTTGAAGAGGTCCTTCACATCCCTTGTAAGTTGGATTCCTAGGTATTTTTTTTCTCTTTGAAGCAATTGTGAATGGGAGGTCACTCATGATTTGGCTCTCTGTTTGTCTGTCACTGGTGTATAAGAATGCTTGTGATTTTTACACATTGATTTTGTATCCTGAGACTTTGCTGAAGTTGCTTATCAGTTTAAGCAGATTTTGGGCTGAGACGATGGGGTTTTCTAAATATACAATCATGTCATCAGCAAACAGGGACAACTTGACTTCCTCTTTTCCTAATTGAGTACCCTTTATTTCTTTCTCCTGCCTGATTGCCCTGGCCAGAACTTCCAACACCATGTTGAATAGGAGTGGTGAGAGAGGGCATGCCTGTCTTGTGCCAGTTTTCAAAGGGAATGCTTCCAGTTTTTGCCCATTCAGTATGATATTGGCTGTAGGTCTGTCATAAATAGCTCTTATTATTTTGAGATATGTCCTATCAATACCTAATTTATTGAGAGTTTTTAGCATGAAGAGCTGTTGAATTTTGCCGAAGGCCTTTTTTGCATCTATTGAGATAATCATGTGGTTTTTGTCTTTGGTTCTGTTTATATGATGGATTACGTTTATTGATTTGCGTATGTTGAACCAGCCTTGCATCCCAGGGATGAAGCCAGCTTAATCATGGTGGATAAGCTTTTTGATGTGCTGCTGGATTCGGTTTGCCAGTATTTTATTCAGGATTTTTGCATTGATGTTCATCAGGGATATTGGTCTAAAATTCTCTTTTTTTGTTGTGTCTCTGCCAAGCTTTGGTATCAGGATGATGCTGGCCTCATAAAATGAGTTAGGGAGGATTTCCTCTTTCTCTATTGATTGGAATAGTTTCAGAAGGAATGGTATCAGCTCCTCTTTATACCTCTAGTAGAATTTGGCTGTGAATCCATCTGGTCCTGGACGTTTTTTTGGTTGGTAGGCTATTAATTATTGCCTCAATTTCAGAGCCTGTTAATGGTCTATACAGGGATTCAACTTCTTCCTGGTTTAGTCTTGGGAGGGTATATGTGTCGAGGAATTTATCCATTTCTTCTAGATTTTCTAGTTTATTTGCGTAGAGGTGTTTATAGTACTCTCTGATGGTAGTTTGTATCTCTGTGGGATCGGTGATCTACCCATCTGACAAAGGGCTAATATCCAGAATCTACAAAGAACTTAAACAAATTTACAAGAAAAAAACAAACAATCCCATCAAAAATTGGGCGAAGGATATGAACAGACACTTCTCAAAAGAAGACATTTATGCAGCCAACAGACACATGAAAAAATGCTCATCATCACTGGCCATCAGAGAAATGCAAATCAAAACCACAATGAGATACCATCTCACACAAGTTAGAACAGCAATCATTAAAAAGTCAGGAAACAACAGGTGCTGGAGAGGATGTGGAGAAACAGGAACACTTTTACACTGTTGGTGGGACTGTAAACTAGTTCAACCATTGTGGAAGACAGTGTGGCGATTCCTCAGGGATCTAGAACTAGAAACACCATTTGACCCAGCCATCCCATTACTGGGTATATACCCAAAGGATTATAAATCATGCTGCTATAAAGACACAAGCACACGTATGTTTACTGCGGCACTATTCACAATAGCAAAGACTTGGAACCAACCCAAATGTCCAACAATGATAGACTGGATTAAGAAAATGTGGCACATATACACCATGGAACACTATGCAGCCATAAAAAAAGATGAGTTCATGTCCTTTGTAGGGACATGGATGAAGCTGGAAACCATCATTCTGAGCAAACTATCGCAAGGACAGAAAACCAAACACCACATGTTCTCACTCATAGGTGGAAATTCAACAATGAGAACACTTGGACACAGGGTGGGGAACACCACACACCGGGGCCTGTCATGGGGAGGGGGCAGGGGGAAGGGATAGCATTAGGAGATATACCTAATGTAGATGACGAGTTAATGGGTGCAGCACACCAACATGGCACATGTATACATATGTAACAAACCTGCACGTTGTGCACATGCACCCTAGAACTTAAAGTATGATAAAAAAAAAAGAAAAGATACAAAGATACTAATTAAAAATACTGTTTTTAGTTTTAAATGTTTGTTTTACTTGGAAAAGTTAATTAACCTAGGCTAGTCATCTGAAAGAGCTTGACCAATTCATTAAGTTCTCTCCAATATAGTCATACAACCCAGTTTGGTGAACTGCAGTGTGGCGAGTTTATTCTGGGAAGCAAATGTGACAGTACTAATGAGAAGTGTTAGAAACAATGAAACTGCAATCAAACATTAACAAGCCTTTATTCCAGGAACATTATTTATACAAACTTTGAATCTCTTGTTGACTAGTAGCAACTGGCAGAACTGTCCGTATTATGAATCCGTGTACATGCACATCTAGTACTGCTAAAAGCCCAGATGAAGATTTTGTGAATAATAGAGTTGCTTTGATGTGATGTATATCGTTAGTGCCTGAGAGGAGAAACTGACATCTGCAAGAAAATCTGTGTAAACTAATCCTGACTTAATCAGGTCCTGATTTGCTAATTCAATCTTTGGTCTTCATTTACATTCTAATAAGCTGTGGCAATAACTGAAATGTTTAAGTACCAATGTAACCATGAGTGAATAATTGAAAGTTTCAATCATGGGAAAAGTTCATTAGGTTTTAGGTTATTGAATAGTGTCAGCTTCACAAAATACACAGGTATATAATTAGTCCAGTATTCATATTTTCTCTTGTGTGCCCATTTACTTTTGCTTTATATTCAGAAGTCATAGAAAAAAAAATGTTTCAAAGTAAAGAAAATATACCTGGGGAAAAATGTTCTCAAACAACAGCAATAAGCTTTGAAGAGTTTTTCAGAGGCTTAAACCTTAATTGAGGGTGAAAGATAAACACAAGAAAACCTGTAATGAATAAAATCAATAATTCAAAATAGGCCCAGTAGAACAATCATCTCTTTTGCTAAGAATAAAAGATAGACATTTCTTAATGAGATAAAACCTCATCTATATATTATGTCCTTTATACTTTCTTTTAGACTTTCGTTTCATTTCGTTTCATATTAAAATTGGCATCCTCTTTGACTAGTCAGTCACATCTCTTGTCAATGAAGATGTTATAATTTTCATGCCAAGATCTGCTATGCTTGTGAGACTTACTTTCCTCATATTTTTATATTGTCACTTTAAATAGACATTACACATTACTTGCTGTGATAGGAAATAATATGAGAAATACCCAGCATATATGAAATTAACAGTAGTAAATTCTGTACAAAGAAATACTCCAAGTAACTTTAGAATAATTTTATAAGTTAGAGAATAAAAATGTGTTTTTCAATCTCTGCCAGATTTACCTGTGCTCATTAGTAATTACACTTGCAACCAATAAGCACTACTTCCATTTTACTTCCATTTACCCTGGACAGACTAATGTGTTAACTTCACATTAAATCACTTAAGGTTACAAGCCAAAAGAACTCAAAAGACCCATAGCACTATACGAACCAGAATATTCCTTGGATCATATACTATTTTTTTTTTTTTGGAGAAGCAGAGTCAGTTTCTTACATCAGGTGGAGTAAGTTTGAGGGCAGGACAGGAAAAAATTGGGGAGACCTATGTCATCGATTGGTAGGAAAGCAGCATATAAATATGTCCAAATTTTTAATAATCTTTATAAGCATCTCAAAAAACTAACCAAGAATTTCAACTGAGTTTTAAACAGACTGCTACTTTTATACTAATTCTTATAATGAAGTGCTCTTCAACTAACTGCACTTTAGAATTACTCTGGAGTTTGTATGTAATGACTCCTAAGTCCTCACCCATAGAGATTTTCATTTAATTGACCTGGAGCTGGGCCGAAAAAAAAAAAAAAAAAAAAAAACAGTATTTTCACAAACTCCCCAGGTGATTCTTTAAACCTTTATGCCAACATTTTGCCTTTAAAAAATAATATTGATGCAATCACACACCAGGAGTATGTGTTAAAGGAGAAAAGCAGAAGCTGTCCCTGTTCCCCGCCAGGCTATGCTCACTTCCTCTTCCGTATGATTTTAAGAAGGTGAGAATGTATTTTATAAAATTTGGCGTAGACACACCACTCTTCCATAAAAAAATGGTGTCACTTCAGTAGGTGATGTCAGAATGCTCGAGAAAGGATTCTTCTGAAACTTCATAAAAATCAGAGAAGCACATTTATACATAAATACCCTTACCCTTGCATGTTTGGACTGTATAACTCTTAAGAGTAGCAGAAATCCACTTTGATCTGGTTCCATAGCCAGCAAACAAATAAGAACTCCTGTGAAAAAATTAGCAATTGACAGTAGCATCTACAGTATAATCTTGTTTAATTTGCAAGTGTTAGTATAAGCTGAATCATCATGTTAGACATGTCTTAAACTATTTTCTTAATTTGTAACTCAACGTGATTGTTATCACTGTTTCTAGCAGTAGTTATCACATAAGTATAGACATGCAAATCTGCAACTGCTGAAAAATAGGCTTAACTTTGCAAATGAACTTTTTAGAATCAAGGTAATATTCCTCAAGGATAGTCCGCCAAAAGTAACACAAACTGCCACAAAACCAGTGCTTAGAAATTTATCACACTGAATGCATTCATTAGAAAAGAAGAAAGATCTAAAATCAATAATCTAAGCTTTCACCTTAGGCAACTAGAAAAAGGATAGCAAATAAAGTCCAAAGTAAGAAGAGAAGAGAAATAACAACAAATAAAGGATAAGTTAATGAAACTGAAAACAGAAAATTGATAGAGAAAATTAACAAAACCAAAAACTAGTTCTTTGACAAGATCAATAAAATCACTAAGCCTCTAGCAAGGCTAACTGAGGAAAAAAGAGAGACAAAGGAAAGAGGGGGCATCAGTAAAAATCCCATGGACATTAATCTCATGTCCCATGGACACTAATCTCTTCCAGAATATAGAAGCAGAAGCAGAAGGAATACTTCCTAATTCATTCTATGAAGCTGGCATTACCCCAATACTAAAACCAGACAAAAACATAGAAGAAAAAAAAAAGATAAAAATTATAGACTAATATCTCTCATAGATGCAAAAATCCTCAACCATATATTAGCAAATAAAATCTAATAATATATTCAAAGAATTACACACCACAACCAAGTGGAGATTTATCTCATACATGCAAGTTTGATTCAATATTCCAAAATCAACTATTGTAATCAACACACTAAAGAAGAAACATCAGGCCAGATACAGTGGCTCATGCCTGTAATCACAGCACTTTGGGAGGCCAAGGTGGGCAGATCACTTAAGGTTAAGAGTTTGAGGCCATCCTGGCCAACATGATAAAACCCTGTCTCTACTGAAAAGAAAAAAGAAAAAAAAATCCAGGCTCGTGGCAGGTGCCTGTAATCCCAGCTGCTGGGGAAGCTGAGGCAGGAGAATCATTTGAACCCAGGAGATGGATGTTGCAGTGAGCCAAGATCGTGCCAATGCACTCCAGCCTGGGTGACAGAGCAAGACTCTGTCTCTATAAGAAAAGAAAAAGAAAAATCACATAATGTTTTCAAGTGATCCAGAAAAAGCATTTGACAAAATTCAGCATCCATTCAGGATAAAAAAAATAATAACACTGAACAAATTAGGAATAGAGGGAAACTTCCTTAACTTGATTAAAAAAAAAAAAACTACAGCTAACAAAATGCTTAGTGGTGAGACACTAGAAGTTTTCTTGCCAGGATTAGTAATAAGGAAGAAGATCTCTCTTCATTACTGCTTTTCAACGTTGTATTGGGAGTCCTACCTGATGCAATAAGAAAATAAAAGGATATAAAAATTAACACATTGGAAAGGAAGAAATAAAGCTATAGTTGCTCCAAGATGACATGGTCATCTATACAGCATATCTGAAAAAAATCAATAAAAATATTCTAAGACTAACAGGTGATTAAAGTTATGAGAAATGAGATTAATATATAAACATCAATCACTTTCCTACAGACCAGCAATATACCAATGGGTTAAAAATTAAAAACACAATACCATTTACATTAACAACTCCTAAAATGAAATATTTAATATAAATCTGATATGACAAAACATGCATTAGATCTGAATGATAAAAACAACAAACCTCTAATGAAAGAAATCAAAGAAGAATGGAGAGATATTCCATGTTCATGGATAGGAAGATGCAATATTGTCAAAATGTCATTTCTTTATAATTTATAGATCAATGCAATCTCAAACAAAATCCCAAGTTATTTTGTGGATATTAACAAATGCATTCTAAAATTTGTGTGGAGAGGCAAAAGACTCAGAATAGCCAACACAACAGTGAAGAGAACAGCAAAGTCGGAGGACTGACACTAGTTGACCTTAACACTAACGGTAAAGCTACAATAACCAAGATGGTGTAGTATTGACAAAAGAATTGGCAAATAGAACAATTTACAGAATAGACAGCCTAGAACTAGAACCACATATAGTCAATTAATCCTTAACAAGGAAGCAAAGGCAATACAATGGAGAAAAAAATAGTCTTTTCAACAAATGTTTCTGGAACAACTAGACATCCATATGCTATATATATATATATATATATATATATATATATATATATATATGCTGTGTGTGTATATATATATATATGCTATGTATATATATATACACACACACATATACACATACATATATAGACTGACTTTTTACTTGTCACACAAACGAATTAAAAATGGATCATAGACTTAAATGTAAAATGTAAAACTATAAAACTGGAAAATTGCATAGGAAAACATATGAAAGAACTTGGTTATGAAGATGACTTTTTAGATACTGACTAAAAGCATGACCCATTGGAAAACATGATTGATAACCTGGACTTTATTAAAATTAAAAACTTCTTTGCAAATGACATATTCAAGAGAATGAGAAGATAAGCCACAGACAGGGATAAAATATTTGCAAAGACACATCTGTCACTCAAAGGACTGTCACTCAAAACATACGACAATCTTTTAAAACTCAACAATAAGAAAATAAAAAACCTGATTATTTTCATGTGCATAAGACCTAAATAGACACCTTACAAAAGTGATACACTGATGGAAAATAAGCATGTGAAGATACTCCACATCATTTGTTATCAGGGACTCAAATTAAGAATGATGAGATAATACTATATATCTATTATAGTGGCCAAAATCTGGGACACTGTTGACATCAAACGCTGGTGAGGATGTGGAGCAACAGGCAAATTCACTGCTGATGTGAATATAAAATTGTACAACCACTTTGCAGACAATTTGTCAGTTTTTCACAAACTGAACGTACTCTGTCCACATAATCCAACAATCACTCTCCAAAGGAGTTGAAAGCTTATGTCTGCACAAAAACCTGCACTTGGATATTTATAGCACCCTCATTCATTCAATTGCTGCAGCTTAGAAGTAACAGAGATGTTTTTCAGTAGGTAAATGGACCAAAAAACCTTATACACCCAGACAATGAAATACTATTTATTCACTTCCAAAAAGAAATGTCTATGAGAAAGCATAAAGGAAACTTAAATAAATAATACTAAGTGCAAGAAGAAAATCTGAAAAGGCTAAGTGCTGTAATTCTAAATGTATGACATTCTGGAAAAGACAAAACAATGAAACAGTAAAAAGATCAATGATTGCCAGGGACTTGGGGTGGGAAGAGACTCAATAGGCAGAGCATAGAGGATTTTTAGGGCAGTGAAAATACTCTCTATGATATTATTCATTATACATTTGTCCAAAGCCACAGAATGTACACTACTAAAACAGTAAATCCTAATGTAAACTACAAACTTTGGGAGATGATGATGCGTCAGTGTATGTTTATCATTTACAACACATGTACCACTCTGGTGGGAGATGTTGATATTGGGGGGTTGTGTATGTATGACAGCAGCAGGTAAATAGGAACCCTTTCTGATCAATTTTGCTGCAAACCTAAAATTTCTTTAGAAAATCAAATCATAAATGGCAATATAAACCAAAACAAAACAAAACACTTGTATTAATGAGCTTTTGTACTTCATATACTTCATAATTTGTAAACAGGAGAGTGATTCATGTGACTTACAATATGAAAACAGTAAAGCCACTCCTCACCAAAGCTTCTTAACCAATGCTTCTAAAAGACAAGAAATTTGGCAGAAAGGCTCATGCTACAGTATTCATGGTAAGTATAATAGCAAAAGCTATTCTAGGCCACTCTCGTAGCCTTTAGCGAGCAAGTTCATATAAACAAAATTCTGACTTGCTGCAGATGAAATTACTATAGCTAGTTACTTTGGTAAAATAAGATTGTCCCACAAAAAGCAATGATTTATATTTGTCACATTTCAGTAGTTCTCACACAAAAATATATACTGATATTAGGAAAATATTTCCATACTGGAGAATACAACGTCAAATAAATATACACAAATCAGCAAAACTTATGAAAAAAAATCAAAAGAACTTAGTTCACTGGTGATCCCAGAATACATAAAACTGACCTTCTAAATCAAAAATAAGAGGACAAGTTGTAAAGTTCCTGGAATATCTTAGACCCTAGTGCACTCATTTATGGTCCTCAGACCATAACTTTCTTTTGGAGAAATGTAACATAGCAATTCTTACATAATAATTAACATGCCACAGGGACAAGGCCACCTGGAGTTCTACGTGGGAGCAGTCATTCTAAATGGGGAAAGCAAAACAGCAGTTTTGTTCATTATTATTATTCTAAAAATATAGGAAGAGAATTTTAGAAATTATTATTTATTAACTACATGTGTCATAATGAATTAAACTTTTTAGTGTATTTATGCATATAAATATTTAGTATATCTCTTCTAATAAGGTTCCAAAGTTCAAAATCTTTTAAGTTACCACTGCCAGATGGATAAAGATATAAAGAGACAGACACATGTGAACTAAGCAGACCCTTCTAATCTAATAACTAAAAACGGCAAGTAATAAACTAAAGTAAATGGAATAGATGGAGGGGCAAAAAACATTGCTTTACTCTAGCAATAAGTGCTACAACAAAATTCAGGTCAAAGAAATCAGGAAAACAATGTAAGAGGTAATTAGCAGTCCTTGAGAATTGTTATTAAGACAAAAAAAAGCCTCTGTTTCTTTATAACTTTCTAAACTACTGTTGGTCATTGTTTTTGTTTCTGTTACATATTGTTGTTTGCAAGGTTTTTTATGTTTGCAAAGATTTTCATGACATTTAAAAATGAGGAGAATGAAATGTCCCTACTTCTATGAAACAAAACAAGTCAACCCTGCTTTGCCTCAGATATATTGTATCTTCACAGCTACAAAAGCTGCATTTGTCATCTATAGAGGATAAGAAAGTATTAAATGGCTGCGACCAGCATCATGGCCAATCAGATGCTCTTGGTGCCCCCCTAGTACATATACGGGCAGAACATCCAGTTTTAGCCCACATGAGAGTAGAGGAAGACCCTTAGGTAATCATAACACCACATCACGCCCCACCCACCCCGACATAAATATGCCCCTCAAACACACACAGACACACTCAAAGAAAACAAAACAAACATGCTACCCTAGGAACAAAGCTGGAAGCCAGGAGCAAGAGGCAAATGGGAAGACTGTGGTTCCCTGTGGGTGGGTGCCACAGGCAAAGCTGCCCTCAGGTGTGTCTGAGCACTGATTGAAACCAGATGCCTTTATTGAGGCAGAAAGTTGAAGAGTCCTGAGGCTGTTTCCAGACAGTAGGTGCCGCTGGAGACAGGCAGAAGCAGCAGCAAACTTGTCTGGAGGAAAGCTCACCAAATTTAGGGCTGCAGGACTCCTACAGAGGAAGATCACATAGTCAGCTGCTCACATACCCATTTATCATATGATTTGCTGATCATTCTTTCTGGTAACACAGAGCTTTAATCTCAGATTATTTTTCTTCTTTTTGAAATGTATCCTAAAGGATTACCTTTGTGCTGGCCATTTTGGTGACAGTTTTATTCATAATTTTCCTTGAAAGGTACTATATGTAGGAATCTAAAGGTAGATTGTTAATAACTTTTTTCTCAACAATTTGAAGATTTTTCTTCTGCCCTCTATTGCTGCAATTGAGAATTCTATTATTGTCTAATTGTCATTCTTTTTTTTTTCCTTTCTTCTGACTGCATAAAAGATTTTCATTTTCTTTCTACCTTTGTGTTCTATATTTATACTCTAACATGTTTGGGCTCAGATTGATTTTTCTTAGTGCTTCTAGTGATATCTAACAAATCCTGGACCTGTGAATTTATATCTTATCTACGAAAAACTTGTAGCAATTTTCTTTCAAATATTAGGCACCCATTTTCTGTTTCTCTGTCTGTGATTCTATGACACCTGTTAAACTTTAATATTCTCTCATGTAGCTCTTACCATTTCTTTCATATAAATTTTTCCATCTTTCTGTGTGGCATGTTGAATTACTTTAGATACATCTAACAGCTTACCACATTGTCCATTCACCTGTATTTTCATTGTTTAAGCCACCCAATGAGGTTTTTTAAATAATTTAATCCATTATAGTTTTCATTTCTAACATTTCAATTACTTTAACTTTTCTTCTCAAATTTATTTGTTCATTCTTGGCACTTCACTATTTGTAGTTCTTGAGAGTCTGTTGTTTTCCTTGCCTTAATAAGACCTTGGGCTATGAATTCAAAAAAATATTAAATTTAAAAGGAATCATGGTGATTAAGGTAATGATATGTAAGTGTATTTGCTCTATCAAGTTATATTTTCAAGCTGCAGTAGATACAATAGTGTAGAATGGGCCAGACTGAGTAATCAAATGGAATAGAGATCCTAAAAAAAAGATCCACGCGTAAATGCAAACTTGATACATGAACAGAAGTTGTACTGCAGAGCAGTGGGAAGAGAAGAGACTAAAAAATGCCCCTGTAATGGTTGCTTGCATTTGTGGAAAACAAAATGTGATAGTCTATTAGTTTGCCATAGCTGCTTAATGAAATACCACAGACTGTGAGGCTTAAACAGCAGAAATTTATTTTTCAGAACTTGGAAAGCTAAAAGACCAAACTGAGGTGTCAGCAGGTTTGGTTTCTTTTGAAACCCCTCCCCTTAGCTAGCAGGTGGTCACCTTCTCACAGTGTCCTGGCATGGTCTTTCCCTTGTGTGTGCTCATCCCTGATGTTTCTATCTGAATGTCCTCTTTTTTTAAGGTCACTGGTCATATTGGATTAGGACCCACCCTAATGATCTTAAATTAATTACCTCTTTGAAAACCTTATCTCCAAAGATAATCATATTCTGAGGTAATGGGGGTTAAGGTTTCAACATATAAATTTTGTGGGGCAACAATTCAGCCCATAACAGATTCCTCAAATAAAAATTATTTACAAATGGATTAAGAACTTAATGTGAAAATAAATCTTTAATCTGTCATAAATGTAAAAAAAATTTTTGAACAGGAAGTAGGGAAGGATATATTAAATAGGACACACACACACAATTGGTCAAATTGACTAAAATTTTGTAAATGAAAAATTTAAATTTAAATAATTTTAAATTTAAAAGTATATTTTTCAAAAGATACCACAAAGAAATTGACAAAGAATCATGAACTGATAGAAGATATTTGTAATACATATAGCTTCCAAAATGTACAGATAAAGAATACATTTTGTGGAAATTAAAATAACCCACCTAGGAAGGACAATTAAATTCCCCCATTGTATTGATACCTGGAATTGCTTTTTAGAGTATAAATTTCAAGGATAGCATATACACAGTTGATGTGCCTGATGTTTGCAGCTTAAAGAGTACAGAAATATTCTGAAAATTAAGATATTAATTAATCTAGAAGGAACCTCAGAATTAATCATGGAGGACCAGAGATATATTGCCAAGATGATTAGAGGGTCATGTCTCTTAAATTCATTTGAAATACACTAGTTCCCTTAGGCTGATAAGTTGTTTGATATGTCATCTCTACTCTTCCATGCCTGTTAACCTAGGTCAGCATCTCTTGGTTTTATTGTTTGTTTGTTTTATTATTATAATAACAATAAACTACTAGAAAAGCCAAATTTAATTTTAAAATATTTGTATTTTTAACATTTTCACCACAAAGAAATAATGTTGGTGAGGTGATAGATATATTAGTTTGATTGACTCTTTCTACAATGTATGTAGAACAAAACATAACATCATGCCCACAAATATATACAATTATTGTGAATTAAATATAAGTAAATAAATAATTTTAAAACAATTTGGATAATACTCATTACTTGCTATTCAGTTTCAATGCCTACTAATATGTTTTTGCTTATATTTTTTGGTGCCAAATGATGACTTTAATTGTAGTAAAATAATAGAAATAAAAACAGAATTATGTGTATACCATATTCATCACTGCTATGTAAAGACCAAATTATATCAGAACGCAATGTATAAGTAAATGTCTTACAGTAGTTCAACTAGGGGAAAATGGTAGAATAATTCACTTTTCAGATCTTGTGAGGTAATATAGACATGTTAAGCTCACAAGGACCTGTGCAATAGCATTGGTACCTAAGGAACACTGAGCAACAATGCAATTTCAGCAAATGGCATTACATAAAATTAATCCTTTTGATTAGAATGGTTTTTTGTTTTTCTTGTATTCAATTTACAAATTTGCCTTTGGTTGTATAGTTTATAGCTGTAAGAATTTACAGCCTATGTTTTTATAAATTTAAAAATATTACAATAAAAATAATTTAAAAACTCTCAGAATAGAGTAGCTTTTATTTAAATGGCATCCATACATTACTCTTGAGAAACATAGTTATATATTTTTCTTTAAAAATGTGGGCTTTGGTTCTAAAAAATTAAGATATCTGAAAAATAAAATAATTCCCCTACAAAAAGGCAAATTAGTAAGATAATATCTGGAGGCCTCCTATTTCATAGTTTTGACTCTGATAATGGACCAAGAAGTATCCATATGTTTGGACACTCTGCCACAATTTTAAACTGTAAGAAGAGATCTTAATGTGCTAGTATTTTCTGTTTTTAACCTATTTAGACTTAATCTTGGATTTCAGATGATCATATATTTGTCACGGCTTAGAAAGGCTAATTTATCTCCTTTTGTAACGTGGAACATAAGGTTACATCAAAGATACTTTAGGAATTATATCTTTCCAGCAGAATCAATCTCTGTAATGATAGCACATCATGATTGCTGCAGGATCCCATCTAGAATAACATTTCCCATTAAGGCACAATTTTCCTTTACAAAAACATTGAAGGAGTTTCTTGAGCCCTTAAGGTAAACTGAAAGATTTACGACCACTAGAAATAATTGGAATCTGAAGTAAATTCACTTTAATCTAACAAATGATTCTCATCATTTAAGTCCTAACATTGCCATTAGAAATAATTGGAGTTATTTGATTTGGCTATAAAATGCTCATGTATAAGCAGAAATAGGAAAATGTATTGTTCTTTAAAAATGCACTAGCACATTTTAATACAGAATGGAAATAGGTAACTAAAAACAAAATCATAATGCTGTCAAATACTGCATTGTAACTTAATCACTTATGAATGATTTGCCAGGATTTATTAACCATACTAATTCTATGAAAATGCAGACAGACTAACATTTTCTCTGAGTCCCAATGCATGGTGGTTCTTAAAGGTTATCAGTTAACCTTGGAACTTAAAAAAAAACAACTCCCAACTTGTAATTAATTATATATTTAGAAAACACTCTCACATAAGTACACTAAAATTTATCTGCCAACAAATGTGGGATGTGATATAAAGAACTCAAGGATTAAAAAAAGAAAAGCACAAATTCCTACTTCAGTTTGTGCTTACTGTATGTCAAACTTTGGGTTAGTCAAAAAACTGTCTGAGCATCAGTTTCTTCACCAATAAAATACTTAAACTTTTCATCATAGATGATTGCAAGAATTAAATGATATAAGAATCCTAGCCTAATGAAATGCTCATAGTAGCATGGTCATTACTGTTCCTACCATGTCCATATATATCCTTCCAAAACTAAATTGCAATATATGTCTTTTTTCTGTTTGAATTTCTAAAATAATTCTTGTAATGGGGAAACTGTCCAAAAATGTTTGTTGAATGAACATACATTGTCAACTTATTACTCAGGCTTGCAGTCCTCATTAGCTGTGAAGGAATAAAAACTGAATTTTTATTAGACAACTCCTTAAACATACGCTAATTTGTATTGAATGTGTTACATATAGGGAAATTATACTTGAAAATTTAATTTTCCAGTAAGGAAAATTTTCACTTAGAAATACACATCAGCTAATTTTATTTAGCTTACCTATATAAAATCAATTCATAATTCATTATAGTTTAAATGTAGCCATAATACTTAATATTTGTATAAATATTTGCCATTCATAAAATATTTTCACATGTCATAACTCATAAGGTAAGAGAAAATTATTATATTAAATCTTATCAAAAAGAAGTGAAAAAAATTTCCACAGGTTTTATGGTAATTGTTGTTTGGTGTTAAACATAAACAGGTTTCTTAGTTGATGTTATAAATTGATATTTTATCTAATATCAATTTATAACATTATGTTAATAATGGTTTCATTAATTACATCTTCCAAAAACAAGTTTCATTATTCAACTACAATGAGATCATATTTAGTTTTATCTGAGATTTCAAACTCATACATACAACAAACTCTATATCATAAGAGGTATTGTTAGGAAGAATAAGTTAATTTTATTTCATATCAGAAAAAAATCCCCTTCATTATACTTACAATTTGAAACAACTAAACTAATTCAAATAATACAAATTGTATCGATTATTTTACAATCTATTTAAAAACATACATTCAGGGTATTTTTTATAGTGGACCTCAACACAAATAAAACTTCAAGTGGAGAACAAACAAGATAAAGAAAAAAAGCATAGTTTTGGTAATGATATAAATAGTAAAGATCCTGAAGGTGCTGACATGCCAGGATATAATTTAAAATTTTACGTCATAAAACACTTAAAAAAAAAAGAAAATGGCCTCGGTGTCTATGTAGAGATTCTATTTATGAAAAACTCAGAAGAGACACAACCAAGTTGTTATCAGTCATGACAGCAGTTAGCTCTCTGGGGCAACAGAGATGTAAAAAAGGTAGGAAACGACTTCTATGGTAGTGTTAGCGTTCTATTTTTTGACCTGTGTGTGAGATACATAGGTATGTTCAGATCATGACAATTTATCTAGTTTTACATCTATGATATATTTGTTCTTCTATGTGATTATACCTTAATAACCCCTTTAAAAAAAAGGAAGAAAATAATTTCAGAAAGACATACAAAGGAAAAGTGAAGCATTCAGATGACAAAGAAGATCCATCATGTACTTAATAGGGGTCTTTAATGAAGAAAATCAAAGCAAGAGTAGAGGAAAAGCTACTAAAAATTAGAGTTCTAGGAAACATTCTTAATTAAGCAGAAATAATTAAAATGACTTATTGGAAGGAAATATCATGTTCCTTTAGAAAATTAACTGGATTATCTACACTGAAACATATTCTCACAAAATTAATAGACATTAAATAAAAGATCTTGAGTCAAGCAAAAAAAAAAATACCAACTCAAAGGACATAGTATGGGACAGCAAAACACATCATCAGACTTTGAAACTTCAATTATTTAGGCTAGTGGAATGTGTAGTGAAATATCTAAGACATCCATGTAAAGAAAATATGAACTAAAGATATTAGATTTACCAACAGATCTTCGAAAGTAAAGGTCACAGATGAAGTGTTATCAATATGAAAGAAAGTAGGAAATGTTGTTCCCATGAATATTTTTTGAAGAATGCGCTAGAAGACAAGCTTCAGACAACAAAAATGATTAGAGAAAAATCAACAAAAATACAAAAAAAAAAACTAATGATGGACAATAAGTTTATTTGCACTACAAAGACTAAGTGTGTATTGTACAGAAAAGAATATAGTGTTGAATCATAGCATTACTGATACAAGTAGTTGGAATTCCTTTGACATTTACCTGGATAATTAATTTAGTATTAAATTGACAACACTTAGATTAGTATATCCTCTTATTCTCCCAACATACTTGAGTTTAACAGTAATACTTATCAACAAATCAAAGAAGTAAAATTTACAATGGAGTAGGAGAAGCAAGATGGCTGGTTGTTATTCATTAAGGTAGGCTATATATTTATTTTTAAAAAGGCCAAATGGGTTTTCTCAAATAAAAGGTGATGAGAAAACTAAAATTACCAAGACAGTGAGGCAACAAATTCAACAAGAATTAACATCCCACCATTAGAACAAATACAGTCATTATCCTGAGAGAAAATGCAGAAAAATGTGCATGCATAAAATATAACTAAACAGATATATTTTTAAAGACAACTTTTGATTACTGAGATATAAGTAAAAGCAATGTAGGGATTGATTTGCTGAGTGAATATTGATGAAGAGCCAATTATGGAGCCAGAAGATCAAAAAAAGAGATTCATTTCTATCTTAAAGGTATCAAGATGAATAAAGATTCAAGTACATGAAATAAAATTCAATATTTCCAATACTTTCTCAAAAAGAGTAGGCAGAGAGTTTGGAGTTTGGTGGGGAAAATAACCACAGAAATAAAGAACATTTTCTAAAACTGAATAAATTGTAAGTGCTCTCCGATTGCTATGCAGAATAAATTTTAGTAAACAGGAATACTTATCCACATTCTCATAAAGCTTTAGAAAAGCAAAAGAAAATTTAAAAGTTACAAAATCTTTAAGAGATATGTAGAAAACTAAAGACTATGTTTACAAAGAAACAAGTATAAATTTGGTGCTGAAATGACCATACTGGATTTTAAAAGAAAATGAGCAAGAGCTTGAAAACACAATTAATTTTAACCTAACTTTTGACAAAACAAGATCACAAACCCTCGTGACACACAGTTTACCTATAAAACAAACCTGCATGTGTACCCCCAAACCTAAAATAAAAGTTATATATATATTTAAAAAAAGATCATTCATCACGACCAAATTGGATTTATCCCTGGGAGGCAAGGATGGCCCAACATATACAAATCAATCAGTGTGATACATCATATTAACAGAATATGATACATCATATTAACAGAATATGATACATCATATTAACAGAATGAAATGAATGAAAGACAAAAACATTACTATCATTTCAATTGATGCTGAAAAAGCATTGATAAAATTCAACATCCCTTCATGAAAAAAAAAAATGGTCAAAAAACCGGGAATAGAAGGAACATACCTCAACATTATAAAAGCCATATATGACAACCCACAGCTAGTATCATACCGAATGGGAAAAATCTTAAAGACTTTCCTCTAAGATTTGGAATACCACAAGGATTCACACTTTCAGCACTGTTATTCAACATAGTACTGGAAGTCCTAGTGAGAGCAAAAGGACAAGAGTAAGAAATAAGGACATCCAAAGTGAAAAGGAAGAAGTTAAACTCTCCTTGTTTGCAGACGATATGTTCTTATATTTGAAAAAACCTAAAGACTCCACCAGAAAACTATGGGAACTGATAAACAAATTCAGTAAAGTTGCAGGATACAAAGTCAACATACAAAAATAAGTAGCCTTTCTATATGCCAACAGTTAACAATCTGAAAAAGAAATTTAAATAGTAACCCCACTCATAATAGCTGGAGAGGATGTGGAGAAAAGAGAACCCTTGTACAGTATTGGTGGGAATGTATATTAGTAAAATCACTATAGAAAACGGTTTGGAGATTCCTCAAAAAAATAAAAATTGAGCTACTATATCATCCAGCAATCCCTCTGATGGTTATATACCCAAACAAAAGAAACTTAGTATATCAAAGAGATACCTTCTTTCCCATGTTTGTTGCAGCACTGTTCACAACAGCCAAAATTTGAAAGCTACCTAAATGTCCATCAACAGATGAATGGAAAAGGAAAATGTAGTACATATACACAATGGAGTACTATTCAGACATTAAAAAAGAATGAGACCCTGTCATTTGCAACAACATGGATGAAACTGAAGGTAATTATGCTAAGTGAAATAAGCCAGGCATAGAAAGACAAATATCACATGTTCTCACATATTTGTGGGATTTAAATTTTAAAACAATCAGACTCATGGAGACAGAGAGGCTAGGAAGGGTAGTTGCGGGGTGGGAGGAGGTGGGAATGGTTAATGGGTACAACATATATTTAGAAAAAAGGAATAAGACCTACTATTTGATAGCACAACAGGGTGACTATAGTCAATAATAATTTAATTGTATATTTTTAAATAACTAAATAAGTATAATTGGATTGTTTGTAATTCGAAGGATAAGTGCTTGAGGGAATGGCTACTCCATTCTCTATGTTGTGCTTATTTCATCTTGTACACCTGTATCAAAATATCTCATGTACTTCACAAACATATACACCTACTATGTACCAACAAAAATTGAAATTAGAAATTAAAAAAGGTTCACTTTCAAGCAGGAGAAATACACAATAATATTTTCAGTTATACAATGACTTTAAACGTATACTATTCAAAATTATTAAAAGAAGAAATAAAATCCCACATAATCTCAGTTTCAAAGAAACTGGGAGAGATTTACAAGGTAAGTGTCTACATAAAATATTAATCTTGAATGCTCAAGAGCATTTCAAACCTAATGTGCTACATACTAAACTGAATTTGTTGCTTGTCAAAATAATTATTTTGAAGCCTTATCAATATTAATAAATGCTTAAAACACTCATTCAGTTGTTCAAGCTATAAAGCCAATACCAATACTATAGAAGTACTAACATAGAATTGTGTTAATATTAGTACAAAAGTAACAGCCTAAAAGTAATATGTCCTTTCCTATTTCATTCTTCACATACTCTAGATCAGCACTACTAAATGTGTGGTCCACAAAATATTTGGTAGCAATTTTGGTTGAGAAAAGAAGAGAAATACAGAGCAAATATTTAAAAATGTCTATAGCATTTAACAAAATGATTTTATGTCAGTTGAACCTAATAATAACAAATGAGATTATATTTTTTGCTTTCTTTGTCATTTCCTTTCTTAGTAATTTACTTTTATCTTAAAAAATACTGCCTTAAATGATTGATGATTTTTTTAAAATGGTCCCGCATCACAGATATTTTGAAAAGCATTGCTGCAGATAAAACCTCCCAATATATTTCAGTCCCATCTACTGCACTTGATCTCCACTGTCACAGTGCTGATATATGCACAGAAAAAAAAAATCAGATTCTCATAATTCTTCTCTCTGCTTCCTCAATCTTCATTTTTACCATATAGTAGTAAAATTGTAAATATATATGTATATGTATATATTGCATACTATAGATGCATTCATGCTATGGATTATTTCTCTGTTGAAAAATCACTTAATATTGTGGAATTTTATTTTTAAAATAATTCATTTAACAACTTTTTTATATAAACATATGGTATGTTATAGTATTCACCTCAAAAAATTAATATATTTCTTTAATTTTCTCTTTTCCCCTCTCAACTTTATAAGCATTTATTTATTTAATGATATTTTGAATAAGAAATAAATCTTTATATATTAAAATCCATTCTCACTGTGTAGAATAAAGAAGAGAAATGCAATAAAACTATCTTAAAAACTACGTGTTATCCTCATCTACAGATTAGTGTGACTGTGTGCCTATAGTTATAGTCAATTTGATATAAGAAGAGATTATTTGGTTTCACTTTGGTGAACTGCTTTGAAAGAAAGCAAAGAAATAAAGAATGGTTACCTTCAAATTTAGCAAGTAAAAATTAGAATTACAGATGATTTTCCACAGAAACAATGGGTTCCTGCAGAAATTGGAATGTTATCTTTAAAGTGTTTAAAGAAAATAGCTTATAAAGCTATAATTTTATACCCTTATAAAAGCTTATAATTTTACACCCATCATAGTTACCCTACAAAATATGAAGTTAGATATCCACCTTCAGGTATGATGAAGTAGCCTGCAAAAGACCAATGTTCCATCTAAGAACTAGACAAAGTATGTTAAACAACAACAACAACAATAATAGTAATAAACATTTGTCTGAAGTTATCAGATAACTAATGAAGCAATCGGGAATAAAAGAGTCACATTCTAGAGAAGGAAGAGCTGGGAAGAAATGAGCTGACATAGGGCAGTTGCATTTTCCCTTTGGTATTTTCTCCTACTAGATGCAAGACAAGAGGCTGAAAACCTTAGTATTTCCTGGACAGAGGAACACTGCTGAGGACAGAGAAATCAGAAGAGCTTTTGTGGTTTTTCAGGAGTTGAGGAACAAAACTAGAGACTTAAGACATCAGGTCTTAACAAGAAGCAATGGCCAGAGAACTGAGTTTGAATGAAACAGGTTTTTTAATGGAGATGTATGAAGGATTCAGAAGCTGCATAAGTAAGGAAGAAAAAAGCTAAGAAGAAAAGTTACATGAGTACAGTTGAGATTTTACTGTTTTGATGTGTTAAACAGAAAAGAATTTTAGTTCAAGTCATACCAATAGGATGAATGCCCATGAGAACTGGTCTCTCAATTACACACTTGGGTATTTTGTTTTAAAATGGGAGGAAACCAGAGGTAGATGGAGTAATAGTAAATCTGCAAAAACAATTTGACTCAGCTAAGTTTCTGATCAGATTAATGACACCCATTTTATATTCCTACCAGAGGAAAAGGCAAATTTTATTTGAAGGAAGGACATATCATCAAGAACACCTAAAATCTTTACACGCAATGCCCATGATTCAATCAACAAACATACTTGTCAAAAGATAGGAAAATATAACTGAAAACACCAAGAAAATAGAAAGTAGAAGACAACCTACATGTGATTCAGTTATTGGAGTATGTTCACAGGACTTTAAAATAATTATGATTTAGATTTTAATAAAAGATGAAAGAATATATTAAAAGATAAAGAATTTTTACCTAAAAATTATAACTGAAAAAAAAAGAATCAAATGGGAAATCTAGACTTCAAAATTCAATAACAGAAATAAAAAACCAATGTGCATAATAAGAGATTTGAAATCATAGGAAACAGGATTGGTGAACAATATAAATAAGCCAAGAGAAAATATGTGAACTAAAGCATAGAGAAGAAAATGAAAATTATATAAAAGAACAAGGGTCATAAGGGACATGGTAAAAAGATTTCATATTCAGATGGAGTTTTAGAAGAGCAAAAGAAAAAAGAAGGAAGAGAATTCAATGGAAAGAGTTGATGAAAAATAATAGCACATATATTCAAGATGCTCTGAAAACCCTAAGGAAAAAAAAACACACAAAAGAAACCAAACCTAGTTACTTCAGTAAAATGGCTGAACCTCAACACCAGAGAAAATCTTAAAAGTGTCTAAAGAATAAAGCTACATTATACTCAATAGAACTACAAAAGTTGAAATATACAGATAACAGCATCTCAACAGAATCAAGACATATGCTGAAAAATTATTACCAACTTAGAAAATAAAAATATTTTCAAACAAATAAAACCTGGAAGAATTCATCACCACTAGATGTGCCTTAAAAAAGATCAAATAGTATTCTTTCAGTAGGTTGAGAATAATTTCAGATGGAAACAAGGAAAAGAAAGAAGCTATAAAGAGCAGGAGAACTGGTGAGCATGTGGGAGTGTGTGTATGAGAGAGAGAAAATTATAATACTATTTTCTTGTGGTATTTCATACATACATAGAATTAAAATGCACAAAACAATAAAACAAAAGGCAATAGTGAGGTACATGGATGATAATAAATTGTTTTAAAGTCCCTATTATTGGGGGAGAGAAAAAAAGGTGTTCATTTTTTCAAATGATAATAAACCACACAGATATGCGTTGTAAATCCTATGGTAGTCATTAAACAAGTAGGAAAATAATGTAAAACTAAACTTTAATAAAGGAGAAAATGCAATAAGTATACATGACTCATGAAAAAGGAAAGAAAGAACTAATGAAAAGAATATAATAGAGGCAGTTCAAATAGAAAACACGTAGTAAAATGTATACATAAACTAAAAAATTGAAATTTGAAATATGAAATGTTACATTAAGCATGAATACAAAAAATGCTCATTATCATAGATACAAAATTATTAAAACAATATCAGAAAATCACTACTAGATAACATATTATGGCCAAATATAATAACCAAGTGTTATTCTAGGAATGCAGAGGTGGTATAACTGGTAAATCAATCAATTCACCACCTTAACAAAATAAGGGATGTCAACATTGTCAAAAATACCACAAGTGTCTGAAAAACAATGTTAAGCAAAGTGAGACTATCACAAAAGAAAAGTTCATGGATGTTTCTTATTTATGATGGTCAACAACAATGAAAATGAATTTAGGGTGCTAGAAGTTAGAATAGATACCCTTGGGTGGTTGTAGAGAGTTATTTGAGCAGGGACACGGGTGTTAGTATATTATTATGTTTTTGAAAATCTGGGTTCTTAGTACAAGGGTATGTTCACTTTAAAAAATACGTGGGTCTATCTGGCTGTATTTTTGGAATTTTCTATTTGGATGTTATGCTTTAATAAAAAGTTCACTTAAATGATAGTAAAATTATCTACAGGGCAATGATAAAGTAATTGTAATAGTCAAATCTACCGCTGAGAAACACTGGAATAGCTAGATAAAATGCAAAAAAACAAAGAGCCATCACCACCACAACAAAATTATTAGAAAATAATAGAGAGGTCCCAAAGGAAACAGCACTCAAGGAGTCAATATCCTGAGGAGAAAGGGTACAGGGAAGTGTGCAAATTCTGCAGGTTCTTCTTCCCTCAGGCCACTTACTTATTCTTGTTATATGTCTTTAAAGATAGTCCCACTAGGAACCACCACTAATACATGCTGAGAAATTAGCAGGCATTTTATCAATTTTATAGAGCTGGAGGAAAAGGAAAATAAAAACTATGGATACAACAACAGTTGGAACTTGGAGAAAAGAGGGGTGGTCAAGCAGTTATATTCTTTTCAGAAATGTGGCACAGAAAAAGAAACTTAACATTATATTGGCTTTTACCTTAGGGCAATTGCCTTATTCTTGAACTGCACAGGATAAAAGATAAAAAGCTAGGCAAAACTCCCGGTAATCGAATGGATATTTTCTGCATTTTATAGTGCCAAGAAGACAAAACTTGGAGTTCAAGGCCCATCAAAGAGAGGCACCCTGATAAAGACCTCATTAACTCCATTGGAAACCCTAGAGGGCTACACCGTAATAGAGGGAGCAAAGCAGAGGAAGAGCAGATAACTCAATCATGCTACAGGCACATAGTCAAGCATAGCATTGAGAAAAAATGGCTAGTTGCTACATGCAACAATGGGAACGTCTCTCACAAGCACAATATCGAGCAAAAGAAGCCAGGCAGCAATAAGCACTTTTTTAAATTTTTTATTTTTTTGAGACAGTCTCACTCCGTCGCCCCGGCTGGAGTGCAGTGGCACTATCTGAGTTCACTGCAACCTCTGCCTCCCAGGTTCAAGCTATTTTCCTGCCTCAGCCTCCCCAGTAGCTGACTACAGGCGTGTGCCAACACGCCAGGCTAATTTTTGTATTTTGAGTAAAGATGAGGTTTCACCATGTTGGCCAGGCTGCTCTCGAACTCCTGACCTCAAGTGATCCGCCCACCTCAGCCTCCCAAAGTGCTGGGATTACAGGTATGAGCCACCGCCACTGTACCTGGCCCTAAGCACTTATTAGTAACAAATGATTCCATTTATATGAAGGCAAAAGTTGGCAAAGCTAATCTTAAATATTAGGAATCAGAATAATGTCATTTTTAGGAGAAGCATTAAGAGGGAGAGAGATATTTTTTGATTGCTGATCACATTCACTTTCTTGATCTGTGAACATGATTTCATAATGGGAAAATGTTTCCAATATACATTTATTATTTGTGAATATTTACACATGGACTTGTGCAATATTTCAATGAGAAGTTAATAAAAGTGAGTTAAAATCTAGAGAATATTTGAACACTTAGATTTGTAACAGCATAAATAAAACATGTTAAAATGTCAATATTATATGTATTTCACTGAAGAAAAATAAATATGTAACTTTTAAGCATAAAATGTATTAAATTTGGAGAAAATTCTGC
Organism: Homo sapiens; assembly: GCF_000001405.40. Classification (NCBI taxonomy): domain Eukaryota; kingdom Metazoa; phylum Chordata; class Mammalia; order Primates; family Hominidae; genus Homo; species Homo sapiens. The sequence continues at coordinate 120,063,222 of NC_000006.12, read as the reverse complement.
AAGGAAAGTGGAATAGAAATGTTATTTCAAAAACTGGAAGATGTAACATTTTAGAATGTTAAAAGAGCATGTTCATGAATGTACTAAGTGGATGCTGCTAGACATCATTTGTAGATATTTACATCCCATTGGGCATATTTTACAAACTTGCTGCAGTATATAATAATCTGGCATAGTTATTAAGCTCTCAATATTTAAGTATATAGAAGTTACAAGTTTTCTAAATCAGAATGATACAGAGGTTATATTTTTAAAATGTACTTGAGGGGATATGCAAGCAAAGAATTTTGACGTTCTCTGTGTCACCTGCGCCATTTTTCCTACTAACACCTAATGCAAGATTTATCATATTCTAAGTTCAATATATATAGAGCTCTGTTCCTGAGATATCTACATCATTCCATTGGCTTGCTTATATATTTCTATAGCAATGTTGTAGTATTTAAATCATCTTTCATTATGACAAATTTTTATATTTGTTATAGCATACCCTCTCTTAATTTTTTATCTCAGAGATTTTGTCTATTTACACGTTCCATTTATTTAAGGATTAGCTTCTGAAGTTCCATGAAATATATCATAAGGATTTGAAAGTAAATATTTACCGCATTTTAGTTAAGAAGAAGAATATTTTTAACAATATTCTACCTTTTTCTATCCATGAACAAGGCCCATACTCTGGTACTTCCTGAGGAAAAGTGACCAGGAGTTAATTTTTTTGAGACTTTGCATATCTGACAAAGTATTTATTTTCTCCAAACACTTGATTAATAATTTGCCTTGGTATAATATTATAATGAGGGTACAAATTTACCCTCATAACATTGCAGGTTTTGCCCCACTATCATCTAGATTCCAATGGTGTTGTCATTTTCATTTCCAAATATTTGTATGCAACTTGTTTGCTTCCTGCTTCTCATTTTCCTCTCTCTCGCTCGCTCTCTCTCTGAATATTAGGTACTTTTCATTGTTCCTAAAATCTAAAAAAGTCACAATATACACCGTGGTATATTTTTTATGATATCACTGTGTAGGGTTCTACATGGGCACTTTCAATCCAAAATCCTTTAGTTTGGAGAACACTTCTTGTATTATTTCAATCATTCTAACATTCTGTAACTCACATTATTCAGGTGTTGCATCAATGATATGGTTTGGCCCTATGTCCCCACCCAAATCTCACCTTGAATTGTAATAATCCCCATATTTTGTGGAAGGAACCTAGTGGGAAGTAATTGAATCATGGGAACAGATTTTTCCTTTGCTGTTCTCGTGACAGTGAATAAGCCTCAAAATAGCTCATGGGTTTTTGTTTGTTTGTTTTGTTTTGAGATGGAGTCTCACTCTGTTGCCCAGGCTGAAGTGCAGTGGCGCGATCTCAGCTCGCTGCAAGCTCCACCTCCTGGGTTCACGCCATTCTCCCACCTCAGCCTCCCGAGTAGCTGGGACTACAGGCGCCCGCCACCATGCCCAGCTAATTTTGTTTTTGTATTTTTAGTGGAGACGGGGTTTCGCCGTGTTAGCCAGGATGGTCTGCATCTCCTGACCTCGTCATCTGCCCGCTTCGGCCTCCCAAACTGCTGGGATTACAGACGTGGGCCACCGTGCCCGGTGGAGCTCATGGTTCTATAAAGGGGAGTTCCCTTGCACATGCTCTCTTGCCCACCGCCATGTAAGAATTCCCTTTGCTCTACCTTCGTCTTCCACCATGATTGTGAGGTCTTCCCAGCCATGTGGAATTGAGAGTCCATTAAACTTCCTTTATAAATTATCCAATCTCATGTATGTCTGTATTAGCAGCATGAGAATGGACTAATACAATCAGTTAAACAGTACTTCCAATTAAGTTGTAGTTGCTATCTGAAATATGTTCTTCAGTCTAAAACCTAAACATTCTTTTTGTTATTTTATTTTAGATTCAGAGGGTACATATGTAGGTTTCTGTAAGGAGTATATACTGTGTAATGGTGAGGTTTGGGTTCCTGGTGAACCATCACCCAAATAGTGAACATTATGCACAACAGGCAATTTTTCCCTTATCCTACACCCCTACCTTTTGGAGTCGCCAAAGTCTACTATTTTCAGAATGTCCCATGTGTACCCATCGTTTAGCTCCTACTTATAAGTGAGACTATGCTGTATTTGATTTTCTGTTTCTGAGTGACTTCATTTAGGATAATGGCTTCCGGCTCCATCCATGTTCCTGCGAAGGACATGATTTCATATTTTATGGCTGCATAGTATTACATGTTGTATATGTACTACAGTTTCTTTATCCAATCTACTACTATTGGACACTTAGGTTGATTCCATGACCTTGTTATTGTGAACTGTGCTGCAATAAACATGTGAGGGCAGGTGTCTTTTTGATAAAATGATTTCTTTTCCTTTGGGTAAATACCCAGTAGTCAGACTGCTGGGTCAAATGGTAGTTCTGTTTTTAGTTTCTTGAGAAATCTCCATACTGCTTTCCAAAGGGGTTAAACTAATTTACATTCCCACCAATAATATATGAGCATTCTCTTCTCCATATCTTCACCAATATCTATTACGTTTCACATTTTTAGTAATACTTATTCTGATTGGTATGCGATGGTATCTCATTGTGGTTTTAATTTATATTTTCTTCTGATACTGAATGTTGAGCATTTTGTGGGTCACTTGTATCTATCTTTCTGAGAAGTGTCTGGAAGTGTTTGCCTTTTTTTTTTTTTTTTTTGAGACGGAGTCTTGCTCTGTCGCCAGGCTGGGGTGCAATGGCACCATCTTAGCTCACTACAACCTCCACCTCCTGGGTTCAAGCAATTCTCCTGCCTCAGCCTCCCGAGTAGCTGAGACTACAGGCAGCCGCCACCACGCCCCGCTAATTTTTGTATTTTTAGTAGAGCCGGGGTTTCACCATGTTGGCCAGGATGGTCTCGATCTCTTGACGACCCTGTGATCCGCCCACCTCAGCCTCCCAAAGTTCTGGGATTACAGGCGTGAGCCACTGCACTCGTCTTTGCCCATTTTTTAATGTGGTTGTTTTTTGCTTGTTGATTGCTTAAGTTCCTTACAGACTCTGGATATTAGTCCTTTATTGGATGCATGGTTTGCAAATGTTTTCTCCCGTCCTGTAGGTTGTTGATATAGTTTGAATGTTTTTCCCTTCCAAATTTCATGTTGAAATGTGACCCAGTGTTGAAGGTGGGGCCTAGTGGGAGTTGTTTGGGTCACGGGGGTGGATCTCTCATAATAGCGTGGTGCCCTCTGTGATAATGAGTTACCATGAGATATGATTGTGAAAAAAGAGTCTGGGACCTCCCTGCTCTCTCTCTTGCTCCGTCTGTCACCATGTGGCATGCCCGCCCCCTCTTCACTTTCTATCACCAGGAAGCTTCACCAAAAGCTTCCTGAGGCCTCACCAGAAGTATATGCTGTTGCCATGCCTGTACAGCCTGCAGAACTGTGAGCCAAATAAACCTCTTTTACTTATAAATTACCCAGCCTCAGGTATTCATTTATGGCAATACAAGTGGACTAATACAATTGTCTACCGTGTTGATAGTTTATTTGGCTATGCAGAAGCTCTTTACTTCTTATTTGTCTATTTTTATTTTTGTTCCAATTGCTTTTGAGGTCTTAGTTATAAATTTTTTGCCTAGGCCAACATCCAGAAGAGTTTTACCAAGGCTTTCTTCAAGGATTTTTATAGTTTCAAGTCTTACATTTAAATCTTTAATTCATCTTGAAAAATTTTTACATATTTTGAGGGGTATGTGTCCAGTTTCATTGTTCTGCATATATCTATCCAATTTCCCCAGCACCATTTGAATAGAGTGTCTTTTCCCCATTGTTTGTCTTTGTCAGCTTTGTCAAAGGTCAGTAGGTTGTAGGTATGTGGCTTTCATAATGGGTTCTGTTTTGTTCCATTGATGTACGTGAATTAGTCCCTTTTTACACTGCTATAAAGAACTGCCTGAGAATGGGTAATTTATAAAGAAAAGAGGTTTAATTGACTCACAGTTCTGCATGGCTAGGGATGCATCAGGAAATTTAAAATCATGGCAGAAGGCAAAGGGGAAGCAAAGACTTTCTTCACATGGTGGCAGGAAAGAGAGCTAACAAGAGCAGGGAAAACTGTTTTATAACACCATCAGATTTCATGAGAACTCACTCACTATACCACTACCACAAGAACAGTATGGAGAAAACCGCCTCCCATGATCCAATCACCTCCCACCGGTTCCCTCCCTTGACACATGGAGATTATGGGGATTATAATTCAAGATGAGATTTTGGTGGGGACATAGCCAAACATATGACTATATGTCTATTTTTCCACCGTCACCATGCTGTTTTGGTTACTATAGCCTTGTAGTATAGTTTGAAGTGAGGTAATGTGATGCCTCCAGGTTCTTAATTTTGCTTAGGATGCTCTGGACTACTTGGGCCTCTTTTTTTTTGTTCCATATATATTTTAGAATTGAATTATCTAATTCTGTGAAAAAATGACTTTGTTAATTTGATAGGAATTGCATTGAATCTATAGATTGCTTTGGGCCATATAGTCATTTTAACAATATTCATTATTCCATCCATGAGCATGAGATTTTTTTTTCATTTGGTTGCATCATCTACAGTTTATTTCATCAGTGTTTTGTAGTTCTCCTGGTAGAGGTCTTTCCTTCTTGGGTAAATATTTTCCTAGGCATTTTTAATATTTGGTGGCTATTGTAAATGGGATTACATTCTTGATTTGGCTCTTAGCTTGAACAATAATATTGTATAAAATGCGAATTTTTGTTCTTTGATTTGTATCCTGAAACTTTACTGAGGTATTTTATCAGTTTCAGGAGTCTTTTTGCAGGGTCTGTGGAGTTTTCTAGGTAACAGAATTATATCATCAGCAAAAAGAGACAGTTTGACTTCTTCTTTTTCTAATGGATGCCTTTTATTTTTTTTCACTTGCCTGGTTGCTAGCTAAAACTTCCAGTACCATGCTGAATAGGACTGATAAGACTGGTCATCCTTATCGTGTTACAGTTCTCAAGGAGAATGCTTCCAGCTTTGCCCATTCAGTATGATGTTGGCTCTGAATTTGCCATAGATGACTTATTATTTTGTGGTATGTTCCTTTGATTCCTAGTTTGTTCAGGATTTTTATCAAGAAGCAATGTTGCATTTTACTGAAAGCCTTTTCCACATCAATTGAGGTGATCATATGGTTTTTGTTTTTAATTCTGTTTAGGTAGTAAATCACATTTATTGATTTGCATATGTTGAACCATTTTTGCATCTCAATAATGAAGCCTACTTGATCATGGTGAATTTACTTTTTGATGTGCTGCTGGATTTTGTTTTCTGGTATTTTGTTGAGGATTTTTACATCTATGTTCGTCAAGGATATTGGCCTGTAGTTTTCTTTTTTCGCTGTGTCTTTACCAGGTTTTGGTATCAGGGTGATACTGGCTTCACAGAATGAATTTGGGAGGAGTCCATCTGCCTTGATTATTGGTATTATTTTAGTATAATTGGTATCCACTCTTTTTAGTATGTCTGATAGGATTTGGCTGTGAATCTATCTTGCCTGGAGCTTTTTTGATTTGGTATGTTTTTTGTTACTGATTCAATTTCAGCAATCAATATTGGTCTGTTCAGGATTCCAATTTCTTTCTGATTAAATATTTGGAGGTTGTATGTTTCCAGGAATTTATTCATTTTCTGTAGAGTTTCTAGTTTGTGTGCATAGAAGTGTTCATAACAGTCTCTGGAGATATTTTGTATTTCTGTGGGTTGCTTATGTCACTGTTGTTTCTAAATGTGGTTGTTTTGATCTTGTTTTCTTTAATTTAGCTATCAGTCTATTGATATTATCATTTAAAAGAGCCAACTTACGGTTTGGTTGATTCTTTGCATGAATTTTTTGTTCTCAATTTTATTCAGTTCTGCTCTGATTATAGTTATTTCTTTCTTCTGCTAGCTTTGGAATTAGTTTGTTGACCTAATTAAATATTAGGTCATTTACTGAGATTTTTCTAACTTTCAGAGGTATGATTAACGCTATAAACTTTCCTCATAACACTGCTTTTGCTGCATCCCAGAGCTTTTGGTATGTTAAGTCTCTGTTTTCATTTATTTCAAAGAGTTTTTATTCTGCCTTAATTTTGTTGTTTACCTAAGAATCAATTAGGAACAAGTTGTTTACTTTCATTGTAATTGTGAGGTTTTGAGACATCCTTTTGCTACAGATTTCTATTTTTACCCCACTGTGGTTCAAGAGTACAGTTGGTAGGATTTCAATTTTTTTGAAATTTATTGAGACTACTCTATGGCCAAGCATGTGGTCAATCTAAGAGAATGCTCCATGTGAAGATGAAAAGACTGTACATTCTATAGTTGATGGGTGGAGTATTTTGTAGATGTCTATTAGATCTAATTGGTCAAGCATAAAATTTAAGCCCAGAATTTGTTAATTTTCTGCCTCAATGATCTGTCTAATGTTGCCAGTAGGGTGTTGAGGTCTCTACCATTATCGTATGGCTAAGTATTTTTAAAGGTCTAGAAGTACCTGTTTTATGAACCTGGGTATTTCAATGGTGGGTGCACATATATTAATGATAGTTAAGTCTTCTGGGTGAATTGAATCCTCTATCATTCTGTAATGCATTCTTTTCCATTTTCAGCGTTGTTGGTTTAAAGTCTTTTTTAAACAAGACTCTTTATAGTCTTGTCTGGAAAAGACGATTTCTCATTTGCTTATGAAGTTTAGTTTGGTTCAGTGGCTTTTTCAAATGCTGCTTGCTATCACGGTGTATTGGGCATATGAGCCAACACACTATCTTCTGTGGGGCTAGGAGTGAGATCTCAGGAAGCTTCTCTCAAACACTAGCACTAACCCCTTCTGACAGCAAGGTTTTCACTTGGTGGTGCAGTTCAGTCTCCAGTCCAGTAGGAGGCGCTTAAGAGAAAGCGCCAACTAGCCTTTGGGTAGACTGATGATGACTGAAGGCACTTACCTGATGGGGGTTGAGGGATGGGGGCGGGGTGCAGAGTCCCTGTACCAGCTCCTTGTCCTAGGCAGGTAGGAACGTGATCCACTTCCCTATCACGCCCTCATTGCAGGCAGGTTCTACAATCTTCAGTTTCTATCGACAGTGTCTTTTGGCTCCCAGCTGCAATGCAAGCAACTAAGATGTACAGAAATGCTCCTCTAGTAGCTGCCACAAAGGGCTCCTAGCAGAACAACATCCCTGCTACCTCCTACCAGCTCCAGAGCCTGTGGCTTCTTTGCCCTCCATTGCTGGGACACTGCCACTCTTCTAGGGAGGGGAAGATGGGTCTCGCCCTTTGTGCAAGCCTAGGTGATGTGGTCTCACTTTCAACAAGGTTTCAGCCACCATGAAAGGTACTGGAAAGTGCACTCGTGCCAGCCCCCAGCAGAGAAATCCTCTGTTGCATCCACAACAGTGGATAGGGGGTGCGGGAGATTACTCCTTTTCCAGGTTTGTTTCTGACCACCCACACCACTGACTTCAGCAATTAGCACTGCACCTGCATTTCCTTTGTCCCAAGGTGGGGCTTTAGCAGGCTGCTCTCCTTCCTTCCCATGTGGTGACCCCTGCCAAAGACTAGATCTCTGGGGATTCCACAGATACCCAGGCACATGCCAGTCCCCTGTAATTGCCAAGTCAGAGCAGGTCTGTGGTATGTTTGTGGAGGATTTGATGATGTTGTGATGCAAGGGCTAAGGTAACCCAGTGAGGCCAGTGGCCCACAATGGATGCACGACCAGTATGACACCAGTATGGCACCTGTCATCTCAGTTCAGGCACGGGGTACCCCTGTAGGAGCTGGCCACCCAGTGCTCTTTTCTTGAGAAGTTCCCAAATCGCCACCAACAGCTTGCCTGGATTTGCAATGGCAGATGGGCTCACTGACAATTTGGCAGCCAGTAGTTTGTGGCAGGGCAGAGGAAAGCAGAGACATATCCCTCATACACCCTTCCCTTGGGACTCTGAGTTGATCGGGGATTAATCTCTGCCAGACTCTTGCTGCTTTCCTTTTCTGCATCCCAGCTTTATTCCCATGGGCTCTCTGACAGCTCCTGTCTCTCTCACCTCAGCCTTCTATTCAGATCATGATCATTCACCTTCAACTTTGATTTTCATTCTGAGAACTAGCATCCAATGTTCCTAGTCAGCCGTCTTGAAAAAAAAAAGACTCTATATATTGCAATGTTTATTTCTACTAACATATTTCTTTTATTGCCAAGAACATGCATTTTTTAAAATATCTTGATCTTGTTTCACATGTGTAATAGCTTTTATTTCTCGGAAGTTATTACCTAGATTGTTGTTAGTTGTTTTTTTCTGTGGATTCTTCTGCCTGTGAATTCGTTTTAGTTTTTTGTATGTTTGTATCCATATTTCATGTTGAAAACCTTCCTCAAATTGCTAGCGATACTTGTCCATTCATCTTTGAGACAGTGGCACTAAAATTTTGCTTGGATGTTCTGGTTGTAGAAACAGTGCTTGCCCAACTCAAAGCTTTACTCTAGGCTGATCGCATAGAGGCTTGGCAGTTATGGATCTCAAAGTTTTCATATTCTGAACTTTTTCTTTTGAGGTTGTTGGATTCCAATCCATAATACAGCAATCTCTCTAGCTGAGTAGTATAAGCCTAGTTGCTGGTGTTCCAGAAACAGAGCTAGAAAAGAATATTGGTTATTTCACTATTAAATCTCAGTGTTTTCTATCAATCTTGTTTTCTGTATGAATGCTTAAGGGAGGAATTTGAAGATTGAAATCCTCAATTACATATTCAATTTTACCCTATCCTACACTCTTTCATGTTCTGAAGTAACTAATACTTCTAGTTTATTTTCTGGTATAACAACTCCCAATATTAAATGCATGGGTTTTAGCACTGTGGAAATAAAGACTAGTCAAATGAGAAAAACAAAGATTATTTATTCTATAGCAGCCAGACACCATCACTTGCATTTTGGCAGAGATTCCAAAACAGGCAGAGGAGTGAAAAAGCTTTGTACTGGGAAAGAGGAAAGACTTGAAGTAAACCCCGATTGAAGGGTGTTGGCCCAGGGATGTTTTAGGCAAGCTAACCAGAAGTGGGATGTCTTATGTGATTAATTAGGGATGCATATTTGGCTTTATCTGATTTGTCTTCACTTGGAACTGGGAACAAAAAATAGTGAAGTTGTTAGTTATTAATCAAGTCCTGGCCATTTTGAACTGATTGTTCAAAACTAAGAATTTCTTAGTTTCCTGAATTGTCACTAGAAATGGTAGTCTGCCTTCAAGTCTGACTTATAAGGCTGGTTTCCTGGGTTGTTTATTGTAGATAAAGAGGTTGGTGTCCTTGGAAGGTTGTTGCAGATTGTAGGTCAGAGTTCTGCATGATCCAGACATTGTCTGTTTGTATGTTCAGTCTCTCAACTTTCTCTGACAGTTAACACTACTTCATCACTATTGACATTACATAATTTTATTGATATATTTTATACATTGTTGTCACTTTCCCTGATCATTTTGCCTTCTATTGTTTTTATTTCTTTGCTCTTCTTCACAAATACAAATAATGTTGCAATGAATAACTATGTACGTGTGTATTTTCGTGTATGCGTATAATTGTTGGAATTATATCTTCAGGTTAAATTTCACGAGGTGGGCTTGCTGATCTAAAATATAAGCACATGTAAACATTTCATTTTTGAGGTTGGAAAATACTCCTACATAAGGATTGCAATAATTTGTTATCAATTTACATTCCCAACAGCAATGCTATAGAATGTCTACTCAGCTCAGTCAAAAGAATAAATTGTTATGAGTTTTAATATTTACTAAACTGTTAGTTGAGTTTCTGTCTTACGAGTGGGAAGCACTTTTAAATGTTTAAAGCAATTTTTTTCTGTTATTAAATGAACGGTATGTTTTTATTTTTTTACTTATTTTTCCTGGTGGGCTATAGTCTCCTTTTTCTCAACTTTTTTATATCACAGAGATTTTAGCCACTTGCAATATATGTTGCAATTTTTTTCTCTCAGTTTACCATTTGATTGTGATTTTGCTTGTTTTGTTTTGCCGTGTGTGTGTGTGTGTGTGTGTGTGTGTGTGTGTGTGTAGTTGAATTTGTCTGTCTTTTCTTTGATTGCATCTAGGTTTTGGGCCATAGTTTAAAAACCTTGTCCTTTATGTTATAGAATAATTCACTTCTGTCTTCTTCTAGTACTTACATAGTGTTATTACATGTAGATCTCTAATCCATTTGGAAATATTTCTTGTAAGAGGTTAATCAAATTTTTATTCCAATGGATATTCAATCAGTAAGCCAACAACAATATTTATTAAAAAGATGCCCCAGTGATTTGAGGTGTCTCTTTACAATCTAATAAATATTTAAGGGTATTTCTACTGGACTATCTTTCTATTCATGTACCTACACATAGCAGTTTTAATTCTGAATTTGTGCAATTTCCCAGTTACGGGTTTTATTTTCAGTATTTTACTGACTTCTGAATATTTTACCATATGAAGTGAGGTATCAACTACAGTTTCCGCACAGAAATTTAATAGATAATTTTTGTGGAATAGCATGAAATATTTAATATTTAGGGAGAATTGAAATCTATATGATGTTGGGTCATCATGTCTAAGAACAAGGGATGCCTTTAGAATTGTTCAAGTGTATGTCTGTGGCTTTCAAGCATGTTTTAACATTTTCCCTTATTGATTTTAAATAGTTTTTCTTAAGTTTATTCATATGTATTCTAGGATTTTTTTCCTATATTAAACAGAGCTATTTGAACATTGCATTTTCTGGTTATTGTTTGTGTATATGAAGGCTATTCATTCTTCATACTAAGTTTATAATCTATACCCTTATTTAATTCTCTTGTTTGAGTTAATTTTATCACTGATTCTGTAAACATTTTAAGCATACTGTACTAATATATTGCCTGCAAATGGTTTTGCTTCCTGCTTTCTAACTGTTTCTAATATCTGGTTTAATTACATTAGGTAATACAGGATACTGTTGAATTAGTCATTGCAAATAATTTAAAAACTGGATATTAAAAGAACTCACAAGCATCCATTGCCCTTCTCACTATACCCAAGTATCACTGTGGCCTGCTGTCTGTTCCCTAGTTATGTTTATTTCTGGACACAGTCTTCACATATATTCTTTCTTTTAAATAAAGTTGTCTTCTACCCATTATTCATCTTCTAACGTTAGTTCCTTGAAGAAGTCTTCCATGACTTTCACCATTCCATGAAAATCTTTTAATTTATATATGTATACTTTTTCCTTTTTATTTAAAAATATTTAATTAGCACAGATTGAATGTATTCAAGGTGTACCATGTGCTGATTTGAAATACATATTATGTAATAATTATCACAAATTAATTAACACACCCATCACCACCCACGCCTTACATTAGATCCTCCAAACATGTTCATGTTATAACTGAGTTTGTATATATTGGCCATGCAAATATTAATTTACCATCTGTATTTTTTTTACACCACCATGATTTTCTCTCATTCAGTTTTTGTGGAAAATTTATAATAATTTTATTTTACTTTGCAAGTATTTGTTGTGCATTAATTCAACTAATATCAATTTCTATCTCATTGAACTTTACTCATGAGGACAGTACCCTTGCTCTCTCATACAGAGTTGACTCACCAATGCTTAATACATGTTTACACTTTGTTGGAGCATAATACTTTTTAATAAATGAGCAGATTAAAAATGAAATGTATGTGATCATCTTTGTTTAATACATGCCAAAATTTCAACTGAAAATTCAACAATTATTTCTTTTTAAAATCTTAGACATATTTATAGATAGAAATTATTACAATGAGGAGCTTGAGAGAAGCGACTCTGGAAAAGAAAAATTGAATTTATATTCTGTCACTGATTAGTTGTGTAGATATAGTCAAGTTCCAATCATTTTTCCCTCCATTTTTAAATAACAATATCTCTATCAGTGGTTTGTATAATAAATGTACTAACACGCGTTAGCACTTAGAAATCAAAAGAGAATAAGCTTTCAAAACTGTTTAATTTCTTCCATTGCAAAATGAAACTTCTCAGGCTGATTCAAAGTGATGACTCTTGGGGTTAGCTTTCTATTTGCTATTTAGAAAGAGAAGGTTAAATATATTGTTTTAAAAACTATAAAATGTTGCTTACCTTAAACCTTAGCCTAGGTTTATATTCTGTTTATCTGTAGCTTCCTCGGTTATAAAGGAAGAAACAGATGTGTTAAGATCACTAAAGTAGTTAGAGAAAAACTAAATAAATTAATATCTTACCCAACAAACAGTAATAGATGTGATTCTAAACAAGGTGTGGATGACTCACTTAGCGTATGAATCTAAAAATGCACACCAATAAAGTTCAATACAAAATTAGTTATTTTGATAACTATTCATCATTGTTGGTATATATAGTATTCTTCTGTTTTCAATTTTTTAACCAATATTATCAGACATTTTTCAAAGTTGTCAGAACTCTCAATTAAAATAATATTAATGTGAATTTTAAATGTCATAACTAAGATTTGAGCTAGTAGAGAAAATATAATTTCATAACTGTAAGAAATTGAATCAAACTCAAATATTTCGCATTAAGAATCAACTTTAAAGAACTTTCCCTTTAGAAGATAGCATAACTTAACAGAATGAAAACTTTCTCTCTTTGAAGCTATTTTACTTTTAGTAAATGAAATTATCGCTATGGCCGGGCACAGTGGCTCGCGCCTGTAATCCCAGCACTTTGGGAGGCCAAGGCAGGTGGATCATGAGGTCAGGAGATTGAGACCATCCTGGCCAACACAGTGAAACCCCGTCTCTACTAAAAATACAAAAATTAGCTGGGCGTGATGGCGTGTGCCTGTAATCCCAGCTACTTGGGAGGCTGAGGCAGGAGTATCACCTGAACTAGGGAGTCGGAGGTTGCAGTCAGCCAAGATTGCACCACTGCACTGCAGCCTGGTGACAAAGCAAGACTCTATCTCAACAAAAAAAAAAAAAAAAAAGAAAGAAAGAAATTTATCTCTATTAGTTAGTTGCCTACCCAATGTTAACCTTTCCTTTCTCATTTACTAACAAATCTCTAATTTTGACAGTATGTATAGCTAGAAGTGGCATTGTGACATGATGCTATCAAAGGAAATTAAGCAGAAGACTTCTGGTTTCAGTTCCAACAAAAAAAAAGGTTGAACAAACTGAAAATCAATGACTTTTATTAAACCCATCAGATCAGAGAATTGAAATAACAGGGAAAAGTGCCACCCCAAAATCTGAAGAGATAGGCAAATATAGAAAATTAGAGTCAAGATCAACTTAACTTGAAGCAGAAGCCCATAGAATAATTGACAGGTAGGAACACTGAAATGGCAATGTTAGTGAATTGCTGGAGGTTAAGAAATGAGGAGCTTGAGAGCAAGAAACTCGTAGGGGCTCAGTCCTTAAAGGGGATGCAATGCATTCATGAGTTTTACCTCTAGGAAACAGGTTATCACGGTAAGGATCTGAGAAAAATATCCTCCTGTTTCCAGCAGAAGAAAGAGTAATGTAACCATTTCAAAATTTCCCAGAACATCCCCCAAAACAGTCCTGCTGTTGAAAAGAAATAACTCCACCAGAGCCTTATACAACTTAAGGAAAGGGCAATCAGCCAAATCCAGGTCCTTCTAGCCTCCTTGACTCACCTGATGGGATGGGGACACACTACAAAATACTTCTGAAAGTCAGAGCCCAGGAGCTCAGGCTCATCAAAAGACTGAGATTTAATTATAATGTTATAGAATGTTCCTTTACCCTATATCTTGCCACTACATCAACAAAGTTCCTCTATAAAAGCAGTGGATTATAGTTGATAGAGATACAAAACATAGACTGTTTAAGAAAGACTACTTAAGAAAACTAAAAAGTGTTAAAAAAAAAAAAAAAAGACAGGACATCTGAAAAACCCAAAGCTTCTGTCATCTACAGCTACAGCAAACAATCACTCAGCACAGTGCCTAGCCGATTAATTTAAATCCTCACACTAAAGGTTTGTTCACCTTCCAAGGCATGTTACATTATGCTCATCTTTCAACAAAAAATTACAAAGCATACTGAAAGACACCATGAAACACAATCCACTGGGACAAACAAACATCAAAACTACACTTAGATATGATGAGGATGTGGAGCAACAGGAATCTCACTCATTGCTGGTAGGAATTAAAATGATACAGCCACTTTGGAAGATAGTTTGGCATAAGCTAGACATAGTCCTACCATATGATCCAATAATCACTCTTCTAGGAATTTACCTGAGTTGAAAAATTATATCTACACAAAACCTCCAGAAATTGTTTATAACTCCTTGTTCATAATCACCAAAAACTGAAAGCAACTAAGGTGTCCTTAAATAGGTGACTGGATAAACAACTGTGGTATATTTACACAATGAAATATTATTTAGTGATAAGATGAGCTATGAAGCCACAAAAAAGACATAGAGAAATCCTGAAAGCACATTGCTAAGTGACAGAAATCAGTCTGAGGAGACAATATCCTTTATGATTACAATTATATGACATCCTGAAAAAGGCAAATTTCTAGAAAGAGCAAAAATATAATCATTTGCCAGGTTTTCAGGATGATAGGGGAAGTGAATACACAGAATTTTTAGGGCAGTGAAACATTCTGTATAATACTGATATGGTGAATACATGACATTTTGCATCTGTCAAAACCTATAGACGTTTATAGCACAAAGTGTATTTTTATGTTCATTTAGGAAGATGAGCGCTCTAAGGAAAAATATGCAGATTGTGACAAGAGAGTCTAACTATATTAAAAATGTATTTAAAAACCTCACTGAAGGGGATAAGGAATAAGATAATAACCTAAGTAACTTTGAAATTAATGGAATCTATAGACTAAAAGTAAAAGGAATTGCACATAAGCACAGTATTCTAGTTGATAAAATTATTTCTTATGGGAGTTTGGCATAACAATTCTGATGCTTCTATAAATTTATAGTGTAATTAAACAAGTAAATGATCAGCAGATGGTAGGAACCAGGTTTCTCACTGTTGAAATGGAACTATACAGGTAAGCAAACAGAGGAGGCTAGAATGATTCATGTGGTAATGAATTAAAGTTTCGGACATCAATGAGATTTAATGTTTTATTTATTATAGATACAAATGGCTATATAAATATATTTATACACACATATATCTCTCTGTGTGTATACAAGGGTTAGTATATTAGTATATTCACATTTTTGCTCTGGCAGATAAGTGGGCATAAAAGAAATGACACCCAGTAATAAGGAGCACATCTAGCTCCCAAATCTTGGTTTCTAATATTATTCTCTAATGAAAACAATCGTGGCTCTTTGGAGAAATAGCTGATTCTGAGATTGGGACAAGGAATACACAAGATGAGCCTGGAGCATCATTTCATTCCAGAAGGTAGTGAGCCTTAGAAAAGTGATGAGGGCTTATCAAAGTAGTATAGAATTCAACTGAAAAAGCTCAAATGGAAGCTGAAAAAAATTGAGCAACAAAATAAAACAGCATTAAATTAGAACCCAAAGTATAAAATAAATGTTCATGAGTCCATGCTAATATCAATGACTGACTCACTATATTAATAAATGAGGGAGAAGAGGCAAATATCCCATGCAGAAAAACCTCAAATTAATTATTTAGATACTCCACCCTTAAAAGAGGGGCATAATTCATCACTTCTTAAGTATAGGTTGTATGTAGTGTCTTCCTTAGAAAAGGTACAGTGTGGTCAACATTAGAAGTCATGTATAATGTTTGAAAATGGCACCTTACCTTGGTAATCTCAAAAGCCCATGACATCAGTTTAACAATGAGAATAAGCATCAGACAAATTTCACTCCTGTAATAAACTTGATCAGTAATTCTCAAATCTGTTAAGTCACCAAAAACAAAGAAACTGTCACAACCAAGAGGAATCTAAGGAGCCATAATTATTAACTGCATCGTGGTATCATGGATAGAACCCCTTAGCAGAAAAAGGACAGAACATCAAAACTAAGGAAATCTGAATGAATCATGAACTTTAGTTGAAAATAATGCGCTCATATTAATTCATTAATTGTACCAAATGCACCATGGTAACGTAAGACGTTAATACGGCGAAACTATATGTGGGGGTATATATAGAAACTCTGTATTGTTTGCTGAATTTTCTGTTTATCTAAAACTGTTCCAAAAATAAAGTATATTTATAATAATAATTTTAAAAGATAAGTAAAAGTCTAAGAAAGGTATAGGAGTTTGATAAATAGGAAAATACTTCACAGGCCCCCACCTGTCTTGTTTCTTTAAAGAAAATGCTTATTTGATGACGATAAGCAAAGTCAGTCACATTTTTAAAGGAAAAAATCATAGTGTGTAATCCTACATTAAGTTGATTTCTAGGGGCTCCATTACTCTTACATCTGTACACTGGAGCACAACAAAATCAACGTTTAAGAATAATTTTGTCCCAACTTGCATTTAGACTACCAATTTACTTCCATGTTAAGGTAAAAGACCAGCAACTCCTCAACTTTCAAGGGTATATAAACCTAACCCCCACCCCTTTTCAAGTGTCTGAGATAAATTCTTTGTATTCATAAAATACATTTCAAATTCTTAAAACTGTAAAGTGAGAAAAGCAATATTTAGTGAATACTATTAATAAAACATAATTTTATTTCTGATTCGAACTATAAATCAACAGAGAGATGGGTACCTGAACCTATGGTATTGTTTGCAGGCAAAAATCACTTTTATTGATTTGCTCTTGGTCTAATGCCTTCAGCCTATATTGAGTATCAATGTAAGGTAGAACCCTGTGCAACTCCCTGTTGCATCTATTATCTTAAAAGCCATAGTACAATACATCAAATTGTATATACCTATCAGGATTTCAAGAGAATGGTTGCCTTAGAACTGTTGTATTATTCCTCAGTAATTGAATTACTTTCATGAATTCTGTAAATTGTGCAATTATGTAGTTTTTCAATTTAAAGTGGCTTAGAGGATGCTTTTGTAAAAATTTTGGATAATTTTAAGCAAGTATATAAACAATATACAGACAAATTTGTGAAGCACTTTTGCCATCATTCTATCCTACTGAATCCATAGATTATATTAAGAATTCAACAGCATCTATTGTGCTGAGGAACTACACATCTCAATATCCTTCTCAAGAGTTTCAGTCAGGTATACAAATTAATTACATAGCTGGTGTGGTATAGAATTAATACCACAGTTTGACATACTTGGTGTGGATCATTATCATATGCATATTGATATTCCTCATTTATGGACTATTTTATGTTTCCACGATTCTTTCTTCTGCACTCACTTCTAACTTTTACCATTTCATTGTAAAGTAAGGGTAGTTTCATTTCTATTCTTTTTTTTTTCTGCCTTAATCGTATGCTTTAGAACAACACTCACTAGTCTGGAAAGTGTTCCTTCCAATCTTGATGTGAATAAAACTCATCTTATTTTCTAACCACTATCACTGATCTGAAGAAAGCACAACGAAAGATAGCCCCCAAGAATTTTTAAAGAATATTTTTATGAGATACTGAGTAGATAAAAATAATACTTATAAAATATATGTGGGAACTAAAACATCACAGCATAGCTCTCAACATCTTACCTGTGTCTTTCTGCATAGGTATGAGAGTTCTCCAGGGTACTTTAACTGAAATGCAGTCTTTGGATTATAGTGCACGTGCTTCTTCAACTCTAGAAAGTAAAAGCACACGCTTTTTCCAAAGTGGTGGTTCCTATTTACACTCCACTCAGCAGTATATTTGTATTCAACTTGCTTTACGTATTTGTCAACTCTTGCTAATGTTAGGTTTATTGTTGTTTTACAAAAAAAAAAATCTGGAGTTTGTATAATGGCAGTTCATTTTTATTTTGTTTGTATTCACCTTGTTAATAGTACTAAATTTTTTTCTTACATTTAGCCATTGGATATCTGATTTTGGATAGTGCCTGTTCATCTCTTTTGCCTGATTTTCTATTATACTTTATATTTTTTCTTATGGATTTGTAATAGTTTTCATAATTTTTGGATACTAAGCCTCTGTCCATTTTGTGTGTTACATAAAACTCTTCTTTGTTCTGCACATGTATCACAGAACTTAAGGTAAAATAATTTTTTTAAAAAAAGGCTTATTGTATAGGGTTCTACAGTGGCTGCCCATAGGCTACATCAAGCCCATACACCTTTAAGTTGGCCTATGTTATGCTGAAAATACTTCTTTAATCTCAATTTAAGGTGCATGTTGATTCTTTGTCTAACCCCTGCAGGTGTTTGAGTTTGCCTTTACATTTGCTAGCATTCCATGGTTTAAAAAGAATTTTTCTGAGAAATTTGAAGAAATAGATTCTAGTTCCATTTAAATTGTTAGAGAATATAGAAAAAAAGAGGACTTAATTTTATGAATCTCAAGACATTGATGCCAACATCTAAAACAAATCTCACTTTTAGATATCAATACAAAAATTGTAAATAAAATATTAGACACAAATCCAAATATATATATAATCATAGTTTTAAGTCATGCATAATTTGCATAGATATCCTGTAATATCTTTCAATAATGCCCTAAAGTTTTCAAAAATATCTTAAATATTTTGCTAGATTTTTTCCTATCTACTTTGTAGTTTGATAGTCTTATAAATAGTATCTTCAATATCTTAAGCTACTTTCTTGTGAATTTAAGAAAATGTTATTGATTCTTGTATATTTGTTTTGTATCCTCTACCTTGCTAAGCACTAAAAGAATTTTAAGCATTTAACTATAAATTATTTTGTATTATTTACAGACACATATAGTCTATTAAAGCATGCATAAGTTTCTTCCTTTCCTTTTTTGTAGGCAAAAAATTGATATTTTTTCTTGCTTTGTTTTCTAGCTAGAACTTAGTAAAATGATGAATGGGCATGATGATTGCTTGCATCTTTTTGTTGTTGTTGAACTTAGAGCTAAGGCTTTCAATGTTCTATCAATAATGATGTCTTCTATGTTATTTTTATAGGTACAAGGAAAAACAGAACATTTCTGATACTCTGCATATTGCTTGTTAATACTCAGTACTATCTTCATCTTTCATAGATCATCTTTGGCTCACAAGAATGTAAAAGCTTGAAGCTACACTTTCCTAGACTCTCCTGTGACTAGAGTCCCGATATATTTCACCAGGAGAAGCACTAGGACTATTTGTGGAAGATAGAAGACCAAAAAAAAAAATTGGCAGCAATAAACAGAAATGGATAGTGTTCTTTTTTTTCTTTCTTTCTTTTGAAGGTTTTGGGTGTCTCTTGAGAAGTAATAGCTTCATTGTTGATGGAAGCTATGACCATTGCTGACAATTTTTCTATTACCTAAAAACAACCAAATTTTTTTTAAATGGTCTTCCTCACATTTGCTTCCCAGGCTACAAACTGTCTAGAAGCTTCTTACACCCTGTACTAAACATCATTTCATTCTATATAACTAAAATGACTTTAGTTTCAAAACTGAACCCAACCCAATCAACACTTGCTACCAGAAATTATTTGAAAGAAACAACTATAGATATAAGAATCTGGGGCTAGTTATCTGACCTAGTTATATTTGAAAGTAGCAATGACCTCATTATCAGTAGATGTGAAACATTGGTATGTGGTGGCAAAAACAAAAGTTTAAATTTAGACTGGCCATTGTTTGATATAAACTGGTAATTAAAATGGTGTTGAAAGACTGCTGCAATAGAACATTATGATGGAAATAATGAAAATAAGGATTGTAGATACAGGATTGCTGAGTCACACTGTAATGGAAAGTTTGTAGAAGAAATTTAAGTCTAGAGCTGAAGTTCTCAGGTGAAGGTATGGCCTGACAACCAGAGAGTTCCTAAGACTGCCCTGAAATAATCACTTTCCTCATGTAGTAGCAGGCAAGTGTTTCTGAAAACCAGACACAAAAGTTGATCCTGTGAGTTGCTGAATTACAACGTAGGCTAAATTCACAGCCTCATTAAGCATGTATCATTAATGTTGAGACATTAATTAAGAAAGAATGGTTCCCTCAGTGTTGAAATTAAAACAGTTGATCAGATTCTCATTAATATGAACACTTTACAGTCTAAAATCTTACTGAGACTGCCCTGACATAATAAGTATGCTTTCTTTCACTGACTTCACCTTCTGAGGACCCTATAATTATCTCATCTGAGTGAACTGCCTCATAAGGAAGCTAATTCCTTTTAACTATAGAGTCAAATTCTAGCCAACTCAAGAGGGCAAGTTTAAGTATGTCCCAGGAGGAGGTGCATAAATTGAAAGATTTTTCAATATCTATTTACATAAACCTTGGGAAGAGACGGATTTTAAAGGTATTAGATCAAGGTAAAAGAAATTCCTTTACAAATTTATTAGTTATGAGAAAGAACATTTCCTAGAGAGTCAGAATGTAATAGATATGCTTGAGCAGCTGAGAATAGCATTCACAATTTGCTTGGTTGGTTAATGTATTGCCAGTGGTACATTATTAAAGTAAGCTGATATACCAGAATTTCTTCAGTGTGATGTAGAAGAAAGACTTCTAGTTGATCAGATATTTTACAAATGAATTTTGAGTTACCTTATCAAGATAAACCACCACAACCAGCTTAGTTTCTAGCTAAGGGCAAAGGGAAGAAGAAATGTTTATTAGAGGAAGGATATTATAAATGCCAACTATAGTCTTATGCCTCATTTCAGAAACAGGAGTGATATGTTTGGCTGTGTCCCCACCCAAAATCTCATCTTGAATTGTAATCCCCATAATCCCCACATGTCAAGGGTGGGACCAGGTGGAGGTAATTGAATCTTGGGGGTAGTTTCCCCTGGGCTGTTCTCGTGATAGTGAGTGAGTCTCATGAGATAGGATGGTTTTATAAGCATGTGGCATTTCCCCTGCTTGTATTCACTCTGTCCTGCTGCCCTGTGAAGAAGGTGCCTGTTTCTCTTTTGCCTTCTGCCATGATTGTAGGTTTCTTGAGGTCTCTCCAACAATGTGGAAGGGTAAGTCAATTAAACAGCTTTCCTTTACAAATTACCCCGTCTTGGGCAGTTCTTTACAGCAGCATGAGAATGGACTAATACAGTAATGAAAAACTATGCATATATTTTATTCTGTAACTTGTCATATAGATTATTTCTAAATACATTAATTGATTTTATTTTCACTCTCACCTTCCTTTCATATTTATTTTAACATAAACTGGTTATGGTTAACATTTAAATTGTCATCAATTTACATGAGACCAAAGAGTGATTGTGACTGAATAAGAAGTCAAAATCATCCAGGAATTAATCAGGGAGAACAAAAGGCATTGTGTCTCCACACTTTGGGAAGAAGGTGGAATTTATCTTTTTCTATACAAGGAGTATTTACATCTTGTTATCACTAATATATTTTAGTTGAAAATATTATAGGAACTGTGTTTTTAGATGCCGAATATTGAAAGATAAGGCTTGTGCTTGAGATTGTTTGCTGATATTCAATAATGCCCCACCATTCTAAATTTTCTGTATTACAGGGGCACAAAACCTGAAAACTGCAATTTATAAATCCCCTTGCCAGTGGAACCTCAGTTGTATTTTGACAAAGAGGGATATTTGCAAATTATTCGGAGAGTAGAAGGCAAAGATGCATTGTTATTACCTGGAGACAGCCACATGTAGGTGCATTGGTATTGAGAGAGAGCAGACATAGATTTTTGCCAGCAATTTCTGGACATCTTTCTGAGAAGAATCCAATTAAGTGCTTACAGGAAGCAGAAATCACAGGTAATAGATTTTCTATGATTCTGGCTCTTCTAAATTTCCTAAAATTCGGTTTTCTAATTTTTTTCCTGAATTGCAAAGGTTTTATAAACCTCTACCTTCCTAAATTAAACTTCTTTCTATATTGATTGCCTAGGTAGCTTATGCTTTCCTTACTCAACTCTGATGATTTCCCTTTCCAAGACAAACTTTTAACTTGGACCAGAGACACCATGTTTCTATCAGACAGTGAGCATTCTGATGTTTGAGTATCTGACATTTTGGCAGGTTTTGCTTCATGCCAAGTAAAGGAAATCCTTGGCAGTAATGAAAAATGACTTCAACACTCACATAAAATAAAATATTAACCACAGAGCTCCCAGAAGGCACTAAAATCTCTGGGTCCAGACATCCATGCATCACACCTGTATCCCTGCCCTTAGCCTATGCAGTCTCATTTTTTTCTTAAGCTATTTTGAGTCAGTTTTCTACCACCTGCAAAAAAAAAGAAAAAGCCCCCAAACACACAAATACACATACAAATGTAGGCAACACTTTTGGCATACATGCAATCTTTATTTAAGAATGTATAGAAATAAATTTCAAATTTCATTAATTAATGTGTACCTGGTTTTATAAAACAGCTGAATCTTACCTCTTGCTTGACAAGCTAAGTCAAAATGAGAAATAACACTATTTTTTAATTCACGATATAGAAAATAGAAAAAGTTCATAAAATATAGTGATATTGATGATACTATAGATGTATTCAAAATACTAAAATCTCAGAATTTTCATGGGTTTCTGTCTGGAATGTGTATATATATAATTTTTATGAATTTATAAATATTTTATAAATATGCATATATTTACAGATACCTATATAGTTGTCTGTATTATTTGTCATACTATTAGTTGATATGTAAAATTTACTTTAGGGATCAACTATAAAATGTACTCTACGGATGTATTATCTTACACATTTTAAATGTGATGATCACAAAATATACATGTTTGACAGACCATTTAAAGTTTAAAAAGTTTCCTGAGAAGTAAACAGGAAAAAAACTATATATAATAGACTATTCTGACCTTCCAACCTCTTCAGTCATGAACCCAGGTCCTTTAGCTCCAAGGCAGAGTCACTGTTTCAGCAGTAATATCTTAATATCAATGGCCCAGAAGTCATAAAAATGACAAAACTTTATATTATGCTAAGTTATTCTTATTTTACACTATGCAGTAACCGTTTAAGTTCTGTATTCATTATCCTCAATGAGAAATAAAATAACTTCAGCATTTCTAATGAAAAGTTTGCTTTCAACACAACTTTGAGGAGAAACAAGGAGCAGCAGTTTTCTCTGTATATTTTCATTTAGATAAGAAAGATTAATAAAGTAGAAAGACAAGTAAATAAACTTGCCATTGCATAATCCTGTCTTATTTTGCAGCTTACTAAACTTTTAGGAACGCATACATTTACATAATTATCATAATTATGCATTACACGAAAAATAGTTCTTTCTGTCCAGTTGAGTACCTTTGAACTTAGGGTTCCTGCCCAGAGGATGATGACCAGGGACTGAAATTCAACAGTGGATATAGCACATCTATACTCAGACATAAAAAATTAAAGCAATTAATTCAGAGTGTTTAAAAGCCTCTTTAATTTTGAATCAATCTGTGCTACTAAAAGTAGATCACCTTATCTAGATGCCACAGAACCAAATTAGTCTTTCTGGCCATTAAGGCATTATCTTTAAAATTACAGCCACATTCACTCAATGTTCTTTCAGTGACCTGGAAAAGTAAATATACCTGCAAATGACTTAATTTACATTCCATAAATTTGGCAATTTGTTTTCTCTTTACTGCGTTATAAAAGGCCCCCTTTTACCTGGCTCATGGCTATTTTGCCCTCCTCATCTATCATTACTACCCTCATCAAACTTTATGCTTTATGTTCCTGGAATACCACTTACAGTTGCTTGAATGAAACTTGCTGCTTTGATTTTTAACTTGCTTTTTTCCTCATCACTCAACTACAGATATTTACTTGCTCTTCTGTGATATACTATTGTGTGCACACACACACGCACACACACAAAAGATAGTTAGGCTTCAACTAACTCTTACTAGATGTGATGAAAGTGATGATTAAAGGGTTGTGCCAATGGATTTTCTTATATAACCATTCGCATATATGTTTTATTGAATACATATTATATGCAAATGTATTAGGTTCAAAGGGAACATCAAATAAAAATAAATGGTCCTGTCCTTCAAGGAGTCAGAAACTAGCAAGTCTAAGTAATTACAATGTGACACAAAATTAAATAACTTCCACAGAGTAGGTACATACGTCCATGGGTACATAGCGGAAGGGCAGTTAATTCAACTGAGGAACTAGGGAAAACTTCCTGGGTGAGGAAGACTTCATGAGTGAGCTAGTTCATCTAAACAACAAAGGAAATACAATTTCAATGAGTATATAAATGAATAAAGAGCATTAGATAGTACTCTTTGGTTGTTCATTTTGCATTGCAAGCAAATATTCAGAGGAATACAAGAACACAGGGTAATATAAAAAGAATTGTGTGTCTAGAACTCAGATGCACAAAAAAGATAGATGTGTTAGTTACCATGGATTGTTCTCAAGGGATAGAAGCAAATTGGAGCTAGTTTTCCTCATATAATTGTAATAGAACTAGGATAAATTTGTCATTAAAAAACACATCTATCTCACAGAACCCAAAGATGGAGATCTGCCAGGGATCACAGGGTGACTGGAGCCAGGACCTAGAAAACTGTCAAGATGCTTTTTCAGTCTCTTATGTTGTCTTCGCTCTGCACATCTGATTATCCTCTTTTTAAGTAGATAAAAATAATATAGTTTATATCAAGTGTACAACTCAATGTCATTTTATTTGCACACATACACAAACCCATGAAACAACTACAAGTTAAGGCACAGAACATTTCTAGAACTCAAGAATGTTACCTTGTGCTCATTCCCAGTTAGTACTTCCCCAGAGGTTATCACTATTTTGAGATCTGTCATCATCAACTATCTTAACCTATTCTTTTGTATTGATATATAATAGTTATTGTGCAAATTTGGGGAATTCATGTGATATTTTGATACATTTATATAATGTGTAATAAACAGGGTAGTTGGGAATATCCACCACCTTACACATTTATCTTTACAGTGAAAACACTCAAATTATTCTCTACAAGCTATTTTAAAATGTATAATAGATTATTATTTACTGTAGTCATTCTACTGATTTTTTGAACACTAGATCTTCTCTCTTTTCTCTAATTTTATTTTTGTATGCATTACATACAAATTATGGTACGATTATACCATAGTTTCCATGTTACAGTTCTTGCCACAGTGGAGAAAAACTACCATGTCATTGATAACTAAGTCTAATATTCTCGAAGATTCTTATAATCCCACCACAGGTCAAGTGTACATCCTTGGCCTAATGGCCAAAGTGCAATACATACACTATCTTATATTCTTATGTATATTATCATAGACATTTCATGCATTAGGCAATGAAAAGGTCTAATGGATTCAGAGACTCAGGCAAGTTCATAAATCAAGTAATTAGGTCACTAGTTCTATTAGGACTCATATGCAATAGCACAATAATCATACTCAGAAGCCTGTACCATTAACCGTTATGTTATACTCTTATTGCTTCACAGACCTGGACCACTGACTGCCTGAGGGGAGAGCAGAGACTGTGTAAAAGTGATTTCTAGCATAGCTAGAGCAAGTTCATACCCCCATTCTTTTCATTAACTTTTTTAGGACTGCAATTCTCAGTCCTTTCATGTGGATGAAGACTCAAGTCAAATGGTAAAAGTTACAGGAGTTGAATAGTGTAGTTAGGGGTGGTAATTTTACTGTTCCTTCTAGTAAGCACATTATAAAACATAAAATAGCAAATTCAGACTGCTTAAAACTCTTATGGAAAAAACAATCTATTCATACCAGGGAGAAGTTAAGGAGGTGCCATATCATACAAAGAGGCTTACTTAGTATACACAAGAAGCTGTATTCCAGAAATGGGGTTAGACACTTTACACATCAATTAGTACTTCAAGTGGTTAAGAGTAGAGGAAAATTCCAGCACAGATAGTAAAAGGAATGAAAAAAAGGCACCTTCTCTTTATGGTGAAGACAGTCTTAGATTTCCACATGCTCAAAAATGAAAAACAGAGTACATGTACAGCCAAAAAGGAAAACATTCTGCATCATTAAAGACAATGAATATAAGATTCAAGAAGGACAAACTTTTGGACATAAATGCTGCTGTAAACAGGAAAAATGGTATAAAATATCTGTTTTCTATTTTTAATGGTATTCAGAATTAAAACACACAGATCCTTCTGGAAATAATAGGCCTACTCATTTCTACTTCTATCTGCTCACATGTGAAAAAGTGTAATGTGTCTTTTTGCCTTTTAGCAGTTGGCATTTTCTTCATAAGATAAAAGCTAGGCTTGCTAACTGGGAAGTATGGGTAGGGTGTTCTCACTCCAGTTTTAACTTCATGATACATTCCCTCTCCTTTCATCTGTGTCTTTGATTACCTCCACCAGTCTTTGTTTTTAGTATCATTATGAATTTTCATCCTTTCTAAGATTTTATAGTAATTTAATTGAGTAATTAGAAAATTGCAACCTCTACACTATGTAAGAAGTTCTATGAGTGCTATAGTTTATAATTTCAAAAATCGATGAAATCCTGGATGGTGTCAAAGACTGGCACGTAAACATGAACACAGGAGGCAGAATTTTGTGGAAGTGAAGTTTGTTAAAGTTGAAAAAGTTAAGGCCAGGCACGGTGGCTCATGCATGTAACCCTAGCACTTTGGGAGGCTGAGGAGGGCAGATCACCTAAGGTCAGGAGTTCAAGACCAGCCTGGACAATATGGTGAAACCCCATCTCTACTAAAAACACAAAAATTAGCTGGGTGTGGTGGCAGGTGCCTGTAATTCCAGCTACTCGGGAGGCTGAGGCAGGAGAATCGCCTGAACCTGGGAGGTGGAGGTTGCAGTGAGCCGAGATCGCGCCATCGCACTCCAGCATGGGCAACAAGAGCAAAACTCCATCTCAAAAAAAAAAAAAAAAAAAAAATTGAAAGTTAGGGATATGTGGCATGAAAGTTACAAGATTAATCTTCATAGCTATAGAAGTCCCATAAATCATGACAGGTGTTGGGATGAAGCACTGGTAAATAGTAGATAATAACTAGATAATATTTCTTAGAGGAGGCATTTTTTATAATCACATGGCATAACTGCAAAAAAAAAGATTTACATGAAAACGAGTATGTGCGTAATGAGCTTTATATAGTAATAAGAGCTGAGAATAAGCATTATCAGAGTGATACCCAGCGGTCCATAAAATGGTGTATTAGTCAAGGTTCTTTAGAGAGACAGAACTAATAGTATAGATGTATGTATGAATGGGAGTTTATTAAGGAGTACTGACTCACACAATCACAAAGTGAAGTCCCACAATAGGCTGTCTGCAAGCTGAGGAGCAAGGAAGCCAGTCCAAGTCCCAAAACCTCAAAAGTAGGGAAGGCAATGGTGCAGCCCTCAATCTGTGGCCACAGACCCAAGAGCCCTTGGAAAATCAGTGGTGTAAGTCCAAGAGTCCAAAAGCTGAAGAACTTGGAGTCCAGTGTTTGAGGGCAGGAAGCATCCAGCACAGAAGAAAGATGAAGACTGGAGGACTCAGCAAGTCTAGTCCTTCCATGTTCCTCTGTCTTTTATTTTAGCCACACTGGCAGCTGATTAGATGGTGCCCACCCAGATTGAGAGTGGGTCTTCTTCTCCCAGTCCACTGACTCAAGTGTTAATCTCCTTTGGCAACACCTTCACAGACACACCCAGGAACAATACTTTGCATTCTTCAATCAAGTTGACACTAAATATTAACTACGACAAACAGGAAAACCATCCACTCCTTTAGGAGCATCTTCAAATAAAAGGCTTCCCTTGTGGCAGAGTCTAATTAAGACAATAAAACAAATACTTCAGTGAAATGTTAATTTGTATTTATGCTGGACGGAGTTTCCAAAACGCATGACAAAAAGTCTTGAGATGGTGAATGCATTTCCTAAAAATTCAATGAAAACCAATGCCATGTCAGAAAATCTAAATTTGTCAAGTTCTATAAGCTCTAAGTATTCAGTGGTGAGCACAAGGGCAAAGTACCTGTATTCATGGAGCTTAGCATAAGTCATATATATATATATATATATATATATACACACATACCCCTAAAATTGTGCCTGTTTAAAGAGCATGAAATGGTATGTGCTTATTTTCTGTAATATCTTCCTATGACAGCATTTTAAAGGACTATATTAATCTCAGTAATATCTACACTTTGAGCTTCCCTTAATAAAAATGGACCTAAAAATGTTTAAGACAGTTTAGATGCCAATACATGTAGATACCAGGTAAACGAAATTATTAAAGAACTTTCAACATTAGATATTAAAAATCTAAATTCATGAGCTCCTGGTGAGCTCTTTTTTTCTAAAACAAATGCTTCCACAGGTAATTGCAAAAGAAAAAATATATATATATAGTAATCACATATCTGGATTACACTTTTTCTTGTAGGCACTATCTCCCAAAGGATGAGATAATTATACTGTCCTCAAAGCTGCTATAGTCAGAAACATTATATTGAGAACCACATATAGAAAACAATAAAGCAAGCTCTCACTTGACCCATGTTGGGTAGTAATATGGGCAATTCACTTGATTCACTTGGCCTACTTGGCAGATCAAATAGGCCAATTTCATATTATCCTTGAATACCAATTATACCTCCTAAAACTGTTTATAAGTTTTTTGTTTTGTTTTTCTTTAATGTTGTATCTCAAACAAAAGAGTAGTATATCTAGGATATAAGAAAACCTAGTTTTGGAAGAGTATTTTCCTCAATGTTGACTAAATATTTTACAACCATGAAAAAACCCCATTAGTAGTCCCTTTTTGCTGAAATAGGCTTAATGAAAATCTGGTATCCACAAGACAGTTACTTTATTATTCCATGATTTTCCCTATTTTTGTTTTTACTTTTTACTAGCACTTATTTACAGGAAATTTATGTAATTGCTACAGATAGAAATTTGTTTTCTTAATTCATTAATATGAGAAGTTGTAGGAAAAGACAAATATAATTAGAAAATAACAGAATAGTAAATGTTAACCTGGGTGTGAACATGTTTCTTAACAACTATGTTACATATGTCAGGATTGTAAGTAAAAAATACTAACTATAGGGAGAAAACATGATATTTTCCTTGAAAATATCTGTAAATTGTGGGGTGGGGGGATGGGGGAGGGATAGCATTAGGAGACATACCTAATATAAGTGATGAGTTAATGGGTGCAGCACACCAACATGGCACATGGATACATATGTAACAAACCTGTACAATGTGCACATGTACCCTACAACTTAAAGTATAATAAAAAAAAGAAAGAAAAAATTTCCCATGTTTAAAGTTTTAAAACGTGTTTCTTAAAATGGCAGTATAAACAAAATTTAATAATGTATAGATTATTTGAGGGAGAAAAATTCAGAGGAATGCCACTGAAGATTAGAGGCAGATTAGCTCAGAGATAGAGATCTGCATTTAAGATCTGGAGACACCTGCCATTTTAGTATAAATCTGTTTTCAGTTTGCAACCCAAGTTAACCAACCAGTTTCTCATTGGTAAAATAGGCATGATCTTTTGTCAATTCTCTATTATCCACGTATCTGTTAATCCTGGAATTGTTTCTTGAATTGGGGCTTATTCCTGGCCTTTCTCCAAGTCTCACCAAACTAGTGTGTACTGAAGGAAACGATAACAATAATAAGTTTAAAAGATAAACATAAAAAAGAAAATATCTGTAAATTATAATTGTGTTAATATTTCCTATTACCTGATCTTCTTAGTGAACTCATTGTTTTTTTGTTGTTTGTTGTTGTTAATCTTTATTATTGTTGGCCAATACATTAATAATTTCTTTATACTTCTGTGTTGCATGGAAACCTGGTGAGTTTCATGGCATGGAACTAACGCTTAGCAAATTCACTTGCAAAGCATTCAATATAAATTTTGCACACCAAACATAATATCTCCGGGTCTGAAACACTGCAAAACTAACTTGCAACACTGTCAATGCCCATTTATGGGAACTAAGAATCCTAACAACTTGTGGGTAATTGTACTTGTCAGCAGCACCTATAAGTTGAATATAAGTTTTGAAGGACTGCATTTATTATGTCAAAGGCAAATTAGCAGCTGCTCAAATGGGGATGCTAGAATTTTAATATAACATCTGCAAAACAGCTTTACATATCTAGAATCAGCTTTTCTCACCAAAGAGCTTTCAGTTAATTTCATGGAGAAACTGCTCACTCCATATGTCTCATACAGTGTTTCATATTCTCTCTAGTAGCAACTATTTTAATTAGTATGGCTTGGCTCAAAATCTTTGTGTGGTTGAGATTTATCCATCTCCTTTACACTCCTTTTGACTTAACCCTCAAGGTCAGTGTACTGTTTTACTAATTCATACAATCACCTTATAGTTTCACATTGGTCTCATATCTGTACAGCCCTGGATGACTGAACAATCTATGACTAGTTTTTCAATCTTTATCTAATATATTTTTAAAAGATCATTTTTTGTGTTACATCATCTTCTCAGTTAATGTTCCTTGGAATTCTGAGAAAATGATGTCCCAGTAATAGAAGGTGTCCAAGCCTTGTCACAATAAAACAAAAAATTAAATGAGAAGAGAAAGCTTTCACAATTAGGAAACTCTTGCATAAACAAAGTGTCATCCACATACCACAAACAAAAACATTTTCTTGTTCTTAAGATACAGAGCAAAGTTGAATAAATAAAAAGATGTCAGTTAAGAACACAAGCCCCAGGCTGACACAACAGTTCTGTATTATGACAAATTATTTAAATATCTTTAAAATAAATGAATAGAAGTGGAGGATAGATGGAAAGCCTAGCCTAAAAAGAGATGGCAAGCATGGAGCCACACGTAAAGAAAGCTTAGAGGTCAAGAGCATTTTTTTTTAATTTGGATTGTCAAAGTGTGTTTAAGTCATATCCAGAAAAGCTGGCCACCTTTGTGAACTAATGGAAAATTTCTTTAGGTAAATGGAGAAAAATCTGGAAATAATAGAGATGGAAGATTTTCATTGCAGCAACTATTGACCCAGCTGACCATGAATGAGACTTTGGAGGTTGCATGTTGTTAAACCAACATGTGCAGCAACAGTGCTCAGAAACCTATGGACTATGTCCCTCTTCCCTGACCTGCTTTCTCCTGGAATTGCTGAATCTTA
This sequence comes from Homo sapiens, assembly GCF_000001405.40. Taxonomy (NCBI): domain Eukaryota; kingdom Metazoa; phylum Chordata; class Mammalia; order Primates; family Hominidae; genus Homo; species Homo sapiens. The sequence continues at coordinate 120,031,963 of NC_000006.12, read as the reverse complement.
CCTCAACTTGGGCAATCGCTTCTCTGAATCTGAACGGCAGCTCCTATAGAAATGTAGAATATGCCTTTGACTACACCAAAAAAGAAACTTTAGATGAAAGAAAATGTAATGCCACTCCATGAGTTACTGAACCTTCTGAGAATACACACGTGGTCTATGGAACAGGGAATGCCAGTGATCTAAAGAACATACTGTTTTCAGGATGAAGGGTGAAATAACAAAATCATGGCAAAAGATAAAGAGCACATAATTGATAGGAAGGAAATGGTGATCAAAAATACAGAACAATCATTTTTTTCCACCACTTTGGCTGCCCAGAGGACCACGAAGCAATGTCTACAATGATTAATCTCGATATACTCTTCCCTTCCCTGTTTGAGAATCATTCCCTGGCAGCCTTGATTAATAAAGGGAGAATAATATATTCCTCAGGTGGTAATATTGAAGTATCTTAGAATTATGCCAGGAGTTAGAATGAAAAGAAAATTATAGGTTTCAAAATTGATATTAATTTAGGTAAGGACCTAGAAATAGAAGACAGCAAAAGAGTAAAGAGGAAAAAAAGACATAAAGCATACTGACATCAGCTTCACTGAAGAAATTATTTTTTAAAATGTTTTGGAAGCAGCAATACTTAATTACCAAAATATTAACAGCTCCTGTTACTTCAGAAAGAGCTTCCAAAGGAAGAAGACTTTAAAAATAGTATTGAGGGGAGACCCAGTTTTCAGACAGAGCAGTTATTCTGAAATCTGGATGCATATTCAGTCACATGAAAGAATTGTTGTAAAAAGCTTATATAGTCAGTAATTAGTCTTTGGTTTAACCTAAGCATTGGTAATTCAGAATCATTTAAAATAAGGAGATGAAATAAAGAAAAGAATTAGAGAAGGTAAGTTTGCTGATTGTAGACAAGAATAACTGGAAGCAATAATTGTAGACAATAACTGGAAGAATAACTGGAGGGAAACATGGAAGAGAAACCAACGTTGGCCAGAGCCAGGAAGGATCAATGGGAGCAAAAAGGGCAGAACCGCAAGGGGAGTTTATTAGTCTTCTATTGTGCCATAATAAATGACCACGAACTTAGTAGCTTAAAACAACACAATTACCTTACAGTTTTGTTTTTCAGAAGTCTAGCACAAGTATCACTGGGCTAAAGTCAAGGTATCAGCAGACTAGGTTGCCTCCTGGAGACTCTAGTAAAGAATCTTTCCTTGACTTTTCTAGCTTCTGGAGAATGAGTACATTCCTTAGCACATAGACACACCTTCCTTCTTCAAAGCCCACAACATTGAGTCTCACTATAGCTCTATTTTATCAAAAGATTTTTTAAAAGAGCTTTATTATCAGTTATATACCATATAATTCACACATTTAACTATATGATTCCTTGTGTTTTGTATATCCACGTGGTTGTGACACCATCACCACAATCTAACTTTATTTTTTATTTTTTTAATTTTTGTGGGTACAGAGTAATTGTATATATTTATGGGGTACATATTTCGGTACAGGCATACAATGTGTAATAATCACATCATAAATGTGGTATCCATTACCTCAAGCATTTATCCTTTCTTCGTGTTACAAAAAATGCAATAATCTTTTCATCATTTTAAAATGCACAACAAATTATTGTTGACTGTAGTCATTCTGTTGTGCTATCAAATGCTAGATCTTATTCTTTCTAACTATATTTTTGTACCCATTAACCATTCCAACTGTCCCCTACCTTCCCATCTCCTCACTACCCTTCCCAGCCTATAGTAATCATCATTCTACTCTTCATCTCCATGATTTCAATTGCTTAGAATTTTTTAACTCCCACAAATAAGTGAGAACATGTGAGGTTTGTATTGCTGTACCTGGCTTATTTCACTTAATATAAGGACCTTCAGTTCTATCCATGTTGTTGCATATGACAGGATCTCATTCTTTTTTATGGCCGAATAGTACTACACTATGTATATGTACCACATTTTCTTTATCCACTCATCTGCTGATGAACACTTAGCTTCCTTCCAAATCTTGGCTATTGTGAATAGTGCTGCAATAAACACGGGAGTGCAGTTATCTCTTCAATATAATGATTTCCTTTCTTTTGAGTGTATACTTAGTAGTGGGATTGCTGGATCATACGGATCTTAGTTTTTTTTAAGAACCTCCAAACTCTTCTCCATAATGGTTTTACTAATTTACATTCCCACCAGCAGTGTATGAGAGTTCACTTTTGGTAAGCTGTATGTGTCTAAGAATTTATCCATTTCTTCTAGGTTTTCCAATGTATTGGCAAATAGTTGCTCATAGTCACTAATGATCCTTTGAATTTCTGTGGAATCAATTGTAATCCCTCCTTTTTCATCTTTGATTTTATTTAGTTCTCTTTTTTTCTTAGTCAAGCTAAAGGTTTGTCAATTTTATCTTTTCAAAGTAACCACTTTTCATTTAAGTGTTTTTTTATTTCAATTTCATTTATTTCTGCTCTGATCTTCATTATATTTTTTGCTATATTAATTTTGGGTTTAGGTTGCTCTTGCTATTTAAGTTGTGTAATATGCAGCATTACTCTGTTTATTTGACGTTTTTCTGCTTTTTTGATGTAGGTGCTTATTGCTATAAACTTTCCTCTTACTGATGCTTTCACTGTATTACATAGGTATCAGTAAGTCATGTTTATATTTTCATTTGTTTCAATAAATTAATTTCTTAATTTCTTCATTGACTCATTTGTCATTCAGGAGCCACCACTGATGTTCACTCAAGGCCTAAGGGGTCTTCAATCTGCTTTGGTGAATGTGGCCAGTCTCAAGCCTCTCCTTTCAGGACAGTAGGCTCCCCTCTGGCTCAGGGTAAGTGCAAAACTGCCATCCAGGAGCCAGGGCCTGGAATCAGGGACCCCAGAAGCCTTCTTGTTGCTCTGTTCCACTGTAACCAACTTGGTACCCAAGCTGATTTGTGGTTCTCATGAAGGTGCTTTCTTGTGTAGATAGTTGTTCGATTTGGTGTTCTCGCTGGGGAGATGATAGCTGCAGGCTCCTATCCAGCCATCTTGCTCTGATTCCTTCTCTATAGTTCTCTGTATCAATTTATCTCTCTTCCTTCATCTTCCTCTTATACCTTAAAGCCCCTTGTGTTTACATTGGGCCCACCCACATAATCCAGAATAGTATCCCTATATTAAGGTCATTTCATTTGATTAGTAATTTTAACTCTATCTGCAAGCTCAATTCCTCTTTGTCATTTAATCTTACATATGCACTAAATCTGGTTGAGTGCCCCCAGTAGTGTGGGTCTCAAAGCTTACAGTGCCTCATGACACGAGCAGATCTGGTGAAGAGGTGAACTGGTGAGATAATGAGTAATTGATTGGGCAAATGGAGATGTAGAAATAGGTGGAATTGCCAGTAAAACAGTTGAAGGCAAAAGGGAAAATCAGAGACTGGAATCCTGGAACATAGGAATTGTTACAGAGTTTGAGGAATAAAGTATACTCAAGGAAATAAAAGAAAAAATTGAAATCTAGAAAAGAAAATATATCTTTATAAAATAGCGTCAAGGTTAGAAACACTTTCAAAAATGTCTCAACTGTTGAGACAGGCAAGGCAAAATTATACAAGCTCCTTACCCTAACATTCTCCTCTGCATTTATTACGTACATGTGATATGGTTTGGGTCTGGATCCCCACCAAATCTCACAGTAATTGTAATCCCTAAGGTTGGAGGTGGGGCCTAGTGGGGGGTGGTTCGATGATGGGGGCAGATCCTTCATGAATGGTTTAGCACCATCCCCTTGGTGCCCTTCTCATGATAGTGAGTTCTTGCAAAATCTAGTTTTTCAAAAGTGTGTAGCACCTCCCTGCCCTTCCTCCTGTTTCCACCATGTAAGTTGCCTTGCTCCCACTTCACCCTCTGCCATGATTGGAAGCTTCATGAGGCCTCCCCAGAAGCAAAAGCCACTATGCTTCCTGTATAGCCTGCAGAATCATGAGCCAATTAAACCTCTCTTTATAAACTGCCCAGTCTCAGGTATTTTTTTTTTAATTGAGACAGTTTCACTCTTGTTGCCCAGGCTGGATTGCAATGACATGATCTCAGCTGACGGCAACCTCCATCTCCTGGGATTTTCCTGCCTCAGCCTCCTGAGTAGCTGGGATTACAGGTGGCCACCACTAGGCCCAGCTAATTTTTTGTATTTTTAGTAGAGATGGGGTTTCACCATGTTGCCCAGGCTGGTCTTGAACTAATATCCTCAAGTGATCTGCCCACCTTGGCCTCCCAAAGCGCTGGGATTACAAGCGTGAGCCACCGCACCTGGCCAGGTATTTTCTTATAGCAATGAGAGAACACACTAATACAACATGGTTACGTAACTGATGAATATTATCTTTTTGAGTCACTAACGGTCATATGTTTTTACTTAATTCAGTTTCTTTGCCCTGAATACTATTTTATTGGTCACTGATTAGTAACCATTAAGTAGTGGCTTTAATTTTTACATTGCATAAATACAATGTATAAGTATGTTGCCATTCAATTCAAGTTTAAGTGGAATGTTCCCCCTTTTAGAAGTAAATTGATTAGCATGATAATTATTATATCCCACTGTAACACTTGAGTGATAGCTATAGTAGAAATACTCTTTATATTATTTTTAAAAGTATTTTGAAGGGTTAGAACAAAAAAGTTGTATTGTTCATTGTATTTCATTAACCATTTTTTTCTTTTGACTTACTAAGTTAGACTGACTTGTCAGTTAGAAGGCCATAGGTTCCAAATTAGTTGATTTTCAGCCACTCAGAAGACAGATTATCCTGGGTGGGCACGAAATCATTAGATGAACCATTAAAAGAGACTAGGTTCTTCCTGAAGAAAGAAATTCAGCACAAGAAATTTTCTCTTGCTGGCCTTGAAGAAGCCAGTTTCCACACTGTGAACTGCCTGTAGAAAGACCATGTGACAAGGGCCCTAAGGGCATCTCCTAGGAGTTGACAGCAGTCTCTGACAGCCACAAAGAAAACAGGGACATTAGTACAACAAAAACAAGAAACTGAATAATGCCAACTTGAGGGAGCTTGGAAGTGTCCTTTCTCTAGTTGTGTCCAGATGAGCATATAGCTGGCTGATATCTTGATTTCAGTCTTGTGAATCCCTGAACAAATGGTTTGTTAAGGCCCCTAGAAAGTTGCCCCATGCCCAGTGAAATTCTCTTATCCATTCAAGTACCATCTCGATAAACTTTTAGCCACAGACACATCTTGCTAAAATCCAGTCTCAAAATTCTCCCCTTTATTTTTCCTCATAAGAACAAATGAAAATGAACATAGCCTCTAATTTTCCATAACTCAAGCACCCAAAACCCTATATAGGTTGCTCTTCTAAGCAAAGAGTGGAGCATTTCCAATCCATAGTCTTTGCTTCGACACTTTGCAAGAAAAGAAAAATCATATTTTACTCTCAAAACAAAATTTTATTTTACAAATTGGTCTAAGTTAACTAGTCTGAAATTACTGGATGCATACTTGTAGGGTTTTCACCAAGAATGTATATCCCTGTCTTAATTACTTTAAGTAAACATGTGTGTATACATATACACTTATATGCATATATATGGCATTGTAGCAATTTATATATGTGCATATATATGTGTGTGTATATATGTGTGTATATATATACACACACACATACACATATATACACACATATATACACGTGTACACACACACACACACACACACACACACACATATACATGGCATGGTAGCAATGTGTTACACTGACAAAAATAAACCAAAAAGCTGTGTATTGCCTATCCATGGTCCGTGGCCTTACACAAGTTGTTGCTATCTGGCATTTCTATTGGCTGTTGACCTGGCTCCTCATTTGTACAGCTTAGGCCCTTCTCCTGCTCACTGACTCCTCCAGGATCTGGTTCAGATTTTTCCAATTAGATATAATCTGTTAAAATAAAACCCCGGCAAGAAAGAAGATAACAATATATATTATGCAAAGTGATCTATCTCCTCACTAATTTAAATGCTTCCATTTTAGAAAAGAATTTTGGCTGTAATTCTGCATAATAAAGACAATAATTTTTCCAAAAACAAAAATTAACTTTCTCCAAAGATAAATCAGAAAACATCTGTGACAATTTAAAATAATAATTTGTAGCCATTTTCATTTATCTAGGTGGCAAATATTAAAATACAACATCACTGACAGTATTACATTAAAAGTATGATAGAGCTAGAGTGGTTTTTTAGTTCGAAAACTGAGACTAAAGTATTAGGGAAAGCCTTGCATTTCTTCATTACAATGTACCATAATTTCACCATATTATAGATAAAACAAATCATTTATAGAACACAGGTGTGTGTATATCTTTATAATTTGCATGACTGCAGTAAATGTTCTCTATGTGTAATTATATTTAATGAGCTCAACTGGATTTGATATATAGCATCAGCTAACACCCCCAAAAGATTAGCAGGGGTTAGCACTGAAAGTAAAAAGGTGGCTAACCTAGCTTAGAGTCTGTGATAATTCCAATTATGAGTTTTAGTTGCCTAATTTTACCATTGAATTATCTACTCTGTTTTGAAACTTTTGTCTCCTTTACCCTGTCCCCAGGTTCTTATGGACATTTCCTTGTCTCCCCATCCCCATAGTATTCACTTGCCCAGGAATTACAAATCAAATGCCTCTGGAATGAGGCAGGGAACTTTCTTGTGTAAAGTAAGCCAGACGTTGAAAGCTAGAAAGTGTGAAGGGCTGTGCTAAATTGAACAATGCATTGTCAGACAAAATGTATATAAATGCAAAACTCTTAAAACACTTTGTAACCAAAGAAAACATATCTGAAGGATAGATTTGGCCAAAGGATGTTAACTTGCACCTACTGTCACAAATCACTAGTTTATTTGTTTGGAGGAGTCAAGTAATCCTTTGAGATTATAATGAAAGACATTTTTCTCTGTGGATTTTGTTTTTACTTTTAAGTTCCACGGTACATGTGCAGGATGTGCAGGTTCGTTACATAGGTAAATGTGTGCCATGGTGGTTTGCTGCACCTATCCCTCACCTCCTAGGTATTAAGCCTGGCATGAATTAGCTATTTTTCCTGATGCACTCCCCACACAAGCCCCAGTGTGTGTTGTTCCCCTCCCTGTGTCCATGCGTACTTATTCAGCTCCCACCTATTGGGAACATGCAGTGTTTGGTTTTCTGTTCCTGCTTTAGTTTTCTGAGGATAATGGCTTCTAGCTTCATCCATGTCCCTGCAAAGAACATGATCCTGTTCCTTTTTATGGCTGTACAGTATTCCATGGTGTATATGTGCCACATTTTCTTTATGCAGTCTATCATTGATGGGCCTTTGGGTTGATTTCATGTCTTTGCTATTGTGAATAGTGCTGCAATGAACATATATGTGCTTGTATATTTACAATAGAATGATTTACATTCATTTGGGTATACACCCAACAATGTGATTGCTGGATCAGATGGTATTTCCAGTTCTAAATCTTTGAGGAATCACCACACTGTCTTCCACAATGGTTGAACTAATTTACATTCCCACCAACAGTGTAAAAGTGTTCCTATTTCTCTGCAACCTTGCCAGCATCTGTTGTTTCTTGACTTTTTAATAATTGCCATTCTGACTGTGTGACATGGCATCTCACTGTGGTTTTGATTTGCATTTCTCTAATGATCAGTGATGTTGAGCTTTTTGTCATATGTTTCTTGGCTGCATGTATGTCTCCTTTTGAGAAGTGTCTGTTAATGTCCTTTGCCCACTTTTTAATGGGGTTGATTTGTTTTCTCTTGTAAATTTGCTTAAGTTCCTTGTACATTCTGGATATTAGACCTTTGTCAGATGGATAGATTTCAAAAACTTTCTCCCATTCTATAGGTTGTCTGTTTCCTCTGATAATTTATTTTGCTGTGCAAAATCAATATACAGAAATCACAAGCATTCCTATACACCAAAAACAGACAAGCAGAGAGCCAAATCATGAATGACTCCCATTCACAATTGCCACAAAGAGAATAAAATACCTAGGAATACAGCAACAAGGAAAGTGAGGAACCTCTTCAAGAACTACAGACCACTGGTCAAGGAAATCAGAGAATACACAAACAGATGGAAACATTCCATGCTTCATAGGAAGAATCAATATCATGAAAATGTCCATACTGCCCAAAGAAATGTATAGATTCAATGCTATTCTCATTAAACTACCATTGACATTCTTCATAGAATTAGAAGAAACTATTTAAAAATTCATATGGAATCAAAAAAGAGCTCATATAGCCAGTACAATCCTAAGCAAAAGAACAAAGCTAGATGCATCACACTACCCAACTTCAAACTCTACTACAAGGCTAGAAGAACCAAAACAACATTGTACTGATACAAAAATAGGCACATAGACCAATGAAACAAAATAGAGAGCTCAGAAATAAAACCGGACATCTACAACCATCTGATCCTTGACAAACCTGACAAAAACAAGCAAGGGGGGAAAGGATTCCCTATTTAATAAATGGTGCTGGAAGAACTGGTTAGCCATATGCAGAAAATTGAAACTAAACCTTTCCTTACACCTTATACAAGAATTAACTCAAGAAATTAAAGACTTGAATGTAAAACCCAAAACTATAAAAACCCTAGAAGAAAATCTAAGCAATACCATTCAGGACATAGACATGTGCAATGATTTTACGTTGAAATTGCCAAAAGCAATTACAACAAAAAGCAAAAATTGACAAATGGGATCTAATTAAAGAGTTCTGCACAGCAAAATAAAATTCTGCTTTTATACCACACCTTGGGTAATTTCATTCAAACCCACAGATGCATTTTTCATATATATTTTAGTATTCACAAACATACATATATACATCTATATGTGTATATGTATGTATGTACAGTGGACCCTTGAACAAAACAGGGATTAGAGATGCAGACCCCTGCACAGTTGAAAATTTGCATGTAACTTTTGACTTCCCAAAACCTTAACAGTTGGTTACTGTTGAATAGAAGCCTTACCAATAACAAAGTTGATTAACAAATATTTTATGTTATATGCATTATTTGTTGTATTCTTAACAAAAAAGTAAGCTAAAGAAAGAAAATGATAAGAGAAAATACATTTACTATTCATTAAGTGGAAGTGGATCATTACAAAGGTCTTCAAACTAGTGGTCTTCATGTTGAGTAATCTGAGGGGAGGTGGCACAGGCAGAAAACAAATCTATGTATGAGTGGACTCACATAGTTCAAACCTATGTTCAAGGAATAACTGTATATATATATGTGTTCAGAAATACACACTTCACTTATTGAATAAATGTACATGATTTAAAAATGAAATAGTACTAAACAGGTTATATTAAAAAAAGATTTACTGCTCCCACTTGTCCAAACCTTTTGTCTCTTTACTCAGAAACCACTTTTGACTCAAATTATTTAAATTAGCACTACAGTTTTAAAAAGTATTTGCATTGCTCATTAATATAATCGGGTATATACTTTTTAATTACTTTAGTAAATAAAATAGGGATGGATAAGGATTAAACAGTCTTACAACTCAACCGTCCCTACCCAGCCTCTCAAAGTATTATATCACTATTTTTAATTAAACCAAAAAAATTTATAATATATCTTTGTAAATGTGATTCACAGTAAAGCCAACCACAGTACCATATTACATCTCTTCTTTAAAAACACTTTTAAATGTATTTAACAAATAAAATATATTTATAGCATTTGAAATATATTTGCCTTGTAGAACAGCTAAATCAAGCTAATTAACATTACCTCACATACTTATTTTTTGTGGTGAGAACACTTATAATTTATTCTTATTGATCTTCTAAAGATATAATAGTTATTAACTATAGTTCCCATGTTGTACAATGGATCTATTGAAATTATTCTTCCTAAAACTTTGTATTTTTTGACCAAAATCTGCCTACATCCACCTCACCCTCAGCAGACCCTAGTAAACACCATTCTACTATTTTTATGATTTCAAATTTTTAGATTCTACACATAAGTGAGATCATGAAGTATTTGTCTTTCTGTACATGGCTTATTTCTAATAAAATGTCCTACAGGTTCTTCCATGTTGTCACAAATGACAGAATTTTCTTTTCTTTTAGGCTGAATAGTATTTCATTGTGTATATATACACCACGTTTTCTTTAACTATTCACCTGTTGATGGACACTTAGGTTGATTCCATATGATGGCTATTGTGGCTAATGCTGCAATGAACACAGGCATACAGGTATCTATTTGACATAGCAATTTCATTTTCTTTGTGAACATACTCAGAAGTGAAATTGCTGGATCATATGGTAGTTCTTGTTTTTAGGGGTTTTTTTTGAAGAAACTTTATATTGTCTTTCATAATGGCTCTACTAATTCATATTCCCAACAGTGTGAAAGAGTTCCCTTTACTCTACATCTTCACCAAGTGTTACCTTTTTGTATTTTTTGTAATTGCCATCCCAGAAGGTATTAGGTTATATCTTATTGTGATTTTAATTTGAATTTCCCCAGTGATTTGTGATATTGAGCATTTTTCATAAAACTGTTGAACATTTGTATGTCTTTTCAGAAATGTTTACTCAGAGATCCTCTGCCTATTTTTAATTGGGTTGTTTTCCTGCTATTCAGTTGAGTTCCTTACATCTTCTGAATATTAACCTCTTATCAGATGTGTTCTTAGCAAATAGATTCTTGCACTCTATAGGTTTTCTCTTCACTTTGTTTCCTTTTCTGTGCAAACGTTTTTTTCAGTTTGATGAAATCTCACTTGTCTATTCTTGCTTTTGTCACTTATGCTTTGGGGTCATAGCCAAAAAATTATAGCCTGGCACAATGTCATAGAGCTTTTCCCATATGTTTACTTGTAGTAGTTTTAGACTTTTTAGTCTTACATTTAAATCTTTAATCTATTTTGAGTAGATTTTTGGATATAGTGTGGAATGAGGGTCTGATTTTATTTTTTGCATGTGGATTTTCAGTTTTCCTAACACCATTTATTGAAGAGACTCCTTTCCCTATTGTGTGTTATCGGCTTCTTTGTCAAAAAGAAATGGAATGTAAATGTGTGGTTTTAGTTCCGGGCTATCTAGTCTATTCCATTAGTCTATGTGTTTGTTTTTATGTCAGCATGGGATTGTTTTGATTATTATAGCTTTGTAGTATATTTTGACATCTGGTAGTGTGAGGCCTTCAAATTTGTTCTTGTTCAGGATTGCTTTGGCTATTAGCAGTCATTTGTAGTTCCATATAAATTTTAAAATTGTTTTTCCTTTTTTGTGGAATATGTCATTGAAATTTTGATATGGATTGCATGGAATTTTTTAATTACTTGGGTAATATAAACATTTTAACTATTAATTCTTCTTGTCTATGAACGCACAATATCTTTCCATTTACTTTTCTTCTTCAGTTTCTTTCAATGTTTTATAGTTTTCCACGTACAAGTTTTTACCTCCTTGGTCAAACTTATTCCTAAGCATTTTATTTTATATTTGGATGTCATTTTAAATGCAAGAGTTTTCTTGATTTATTTCTTGGATGGTTTATTATTATATAGAAATGCTAATGATTTTTGTACATTCACTTAGTATCCTGCAAATTTACTAACTTCATTTATTAGTTCTAACAGTTTTTTGGTGAAATCTTTAGGGTTTTCTATATATAAAAACACGTCATCTGCAAACAGAAACAATTTACCTTCTTTTCCAATTTAGATTCCTTTTGCTTCTTTCTCTTGCCAAATTTATCTGTCTAGGATGTACAGTACAATGTTGAATACAATGTTGAGTACATTGTACGTTGATGTACAGTACAATGTTGAATAGATGTGGCAGGAGTGGGCACCACTGTCTTATTCCCAATCTTAAAGGAAAAGCTTTCAATATTTTCCTGTTGAGTGTGATGTAAGCTGTGGGTTTGTCTTATGTGATCAATATTGTGCTAAGATAAATTCCTTTTACACCTCATTGGTTGAGAGTTTTTATCAAGAATGTTCAATTTTGTCAATGCTTTTTCTGCATCTATTGATTGAGATAATCATATAGTTTTTATCCTGCATTCACTTAATGTGGTAAATTAGATTTGTGTATGTTGAATTATCCTTGCATTTCTGGGATAAATACCACTTTATCATAGTGAACGATTTTTTAATGTGCTTTTAAATTTGTTTTGCTAGTATTTTGTTGAGGACTTTTGCATCTATATTCATGAGGAACATTGGCCTGTAATATTCTCTTCTTATACATATCTGACTTTGGTATCAGGGTAATGTTGGCCTCATAAAATGATTTTAAAATTATTTCCTTTATATGGTCTTGTTCTGTGTCCCCACCCAAATCTCATCTTGAGTTGTACTCCCATAATTCCCATATATTGTGAGAGGGACCAGGTCGGGGGATAATTGAATCATGGTGGGGGGTGGTTCCCCCATACTGTTCTTGTCGTAGTGAATAAGTCTCACAAGATCTGATTGTTTTAAAAAGGGTTTCCTCATTTGCTTCTGTCTCAATCTCTCTTGCTGCTGCCATGTAAGAAGTGCCTTTTACCTTCCACTATGATTGTGAGGCCTTCCCAGCCACATGGAACTGTGAGTCCATTAAACCTATTTTTCTTCCCAGTCTCAGGTATGTCTTTATCAGCAGCATGAAAGTGGACTAATACAGTAAATTGGCACCAGAAATGTGGTGCTGCTGAAAATGTGGAAGCAACTTTGGAATTGGGTAACAGGCAGAGTTTGGAACAGTTTGGAGGGCTCAGAAGTCAGAAAAATGTGGGAAAGTTTGGAACTTCCTAGAGACTTGATAAATGGCTTTCACCAAAATGCTGATAATGATATGGACAATGAAATCAGGCTGAGATGGTCTCAGATGGAGATGAGGAACTTGTTGGGAACTGGAGCAAATGTGACTCTTGCTATGTTTTAGCAAAGAGAATGGCAGCATTTTGCCCCTGCCCTAGAGATTTGTGGAATTTTAAACTTGAGCGAGATGATTTAGGGTGTCTGGTAAAATAAATTTCTAAGCAGCAAAGCATTCAAAATATGACTTGGGTGCTGTTAAAGGCATTCAGTTTTAAAAGGGAAACAGAGCATAAAAGTTCAAAAAAATTTGCAGCCTGACAATGTGATAGAAAAGAAAATCCCATTTTCTGAGAGGAAATTCAACCTGGCTACAGAAATTTACGTAAGTAACAAGGAGCTGCATGTTAATCACCAAGACAATGGGGAAAATTTATCCAGGACATGGGAGACCTTCAGGGCAACCACCCCCATTACAGACCCAGAGGCCTAGGGAAAAAAAATGGTGTCATGGGCCAGGCCCAAGGTCCCACTGCTATGTGCAGTCTAGGGACTTGGTGCCATGTGTCCCAGATGCTCCATCCGTGACTAAAAGGGTCCAAGACACAGCTTAGACCATGACTTCAGAGGGTGCAAGCACCAAGCCTTGGCAGCTTCCATGTGGTGTTGGTCCTGAGCAAGCGCAAAAGTCAAAAATTAAGGTTTGCGAACCTCTGCCTAGATTTCAGAAGATGTACAGAAACGCCTGGATGTCCACGCAGAAGTTTGCTGCAGGGGTGGGACTCTCATAAAGAACCTCTGCTAGCGCAGTGCAGGAGGGAAATATGGGGTGGGCACCCCCACACAGAATCCCCACTGGGGCGCTGTCTAGTGGAGCTGTGAGAAGAGTGCACCATCCTCCAAGCTCCAGAATGGTAGTGCTACCAACAGCTTGCATCATGTGTCTGGAAAAGCCACAGACACTCAACACCTGCCAGTGAAAGCAGCTGGGAAAGAAGCTGTACCCTGCAAAGGCACAGGGGCGAAGCTGCCCAAGACCATGGGAACCCACCTCTTGTTATCAGTGTGACCCAGATGCGAGACATGGAGTCAAAGGAGGTCATTTTGGAGCTTTAAGATTTGACTGCCTTGCTGGATTTTGGACTTGCATGAGGCCTGTAGCCCCTTTGTTTTGGACAATTTCTTCCATTTGGAATTGCTGTATTTACCCAATGCCTGTAACCCCATTGTATCTAGGATGTAATTAACTTCCTTTTGATTTTACAGGCTCATAGGTGGAAGGGACTTGCCTTATTTTGGATAAGACTTTGGACTGTGGACTTTTTGAGTTAATGGTGAAAAGAGTTTTAAGACTTTGGGGCACTTGTTGAGAAAGCATGATTGGTTTTAAAATGTGAGGACATGAGATTTGGCAGGGGCTAGGGGTGGAACAATATGGTTTGTCTCTTTGTCCGCATCCAAATATCATCTTGAATATAGCCCCCATAATTCCCATGTGTTGTGGGAGGAAACTGGTGGGAGATAGTTGAATCACCGGGGTGGTTTCTCCCATCTTGTCTCATGGTAGTGAATAAGTCTCACGAGATCTGATGGTTTTACAAGGGATTTCCACTTTCACTTCTGTCTCATTTTCTCTTGCTGCTGCCATGTAAGAAGTGCCTTTTGCCTTCCACTATGATTCTGATGCCTCCCCAGCCACTTGGAACTGTGACTCCGTTAAAGCTATTTTTCTTCCCAGTCTCAGGTATGTCTTTATCAACAGCGTGAAAATTGACTAATACATTCCTCATCTTTAATGATCAGAAGCATTTGAGAAGGCTTGGCATTAATTCTTCTTTCAATTTTTGGTAGAGTTCATTAACGAAGCCATCATGCCTTAGGGTTTTCTTTGATGGAAAACTTTGTTGATTCAATGTCTTTATGTATTATTGGTCTGTTCAGGTTTACTCTTTCATGATTCCGTCTTGGTAGGATATTTGTGTCTAGAAAGTTACACATTACTTCTAGGTTATACAGTTTGTTGGTATATAATTGTTTCTAACAATCTTAGGATCTTTTGTATTTCTGTGGTATCAATTGTAATGTCTCCACCTTCATTTCTGATTTTTAAGTTTTCTCATTTTTCTTTACATATATATATTTTTATTATACTTTAAGTTCTAGGGTACATGTGCACAACGTGCAGCTTTGTTACATATGTATACATGTGTCATGTTGGTGTGCTGCACCCATTAACTCCTCATTTACATTAGGTATATCTCCTAATGCTATCCCTCCCTGCTCCCTCTATCCCACAACAGGCCCCAATGTGTGATGTTCCCCTTCCTGTGTCCAAGTGTTCTCATTGTTCAATTCCCACCTATGAGTGAGAACATGTGGTGTTTGGTTTTTTGTCCTTGCGATAAGTTTGCTGAGAATGATGGTTTCCAGCTTCATCCATGTCCCTACAAAGGACATGAACTCATCATTTTTTATGGCTGCATAGTATTCCACAGTGTATATGTGCCACATTTTCTTAATCCAGTCTATCATTGTTGGACATTTGGGTTGGTTCCAAGTCTTTGCTGTTGTGAGTAGTGCCACAATAAACATACGTGTGCATGTGTCTTTATAGCAGCATGATTTATAGTCCTTTGAGTATATACCCAGTAATGGGATGGCTGGGTCAAATGGTATTTCTAGTTCTAGATCCCTGAGGAATCGCCACACTGTCTTCCACAATGGTTGAACTAGTTTACAGTCCCACCAACAGTGTAAAAGTGTTCCTATTTCTCCACATCCTCTCCAGCAACTATTGTTTCCTGACTTTTTAATGATCGCCATTCTAACTGGTATGAGATCGTATCTCATTGTGGTTTTGATTTGCATTTCTCTGATGGCCAGTGATGATGAGCATTTTTTCATGTGTCTGTTGGCTGCATAAATGTCTTCTTTTGAGAAGTGTCTGTTCATATCCTTTGCCCACTTTTTGATGGGGTTGTTTGTTTTTTCTTGTAAATTTGAGTTCTTTATAGATTCTGGATATTAGCCCTTTGTCAGATGAGTAGATTGCAAAAATTTTCTCCCATTCTGTAGGTTACCTGTTCGCTCTGTCGGCAATTTCTTTTGCTATGCAGAAGCTCTTTAGTTTTAATAGATCCCATTTGTCAACTTTGGCTTTTGTTGCCATTGCTTTTGGTGTTTTAGACATGAAGTCCTTGCCCATAAGTTTTCTCATTTTTCTTAGTCTAGCTAAAGGTTTGTTGATTTTATTTTTTCAAAATAGCAACTCTTGGTTTCAGCAATCTTTTCTAATGTTTTCAAGTCTATTTTTTTATTTTTGCTCAGATTTTTATTATTTTCTTTCTTTTACTGACTTTGGTCTTAGTGTGCTCATTTTTCTAGTAACTTGAGAAATAATGTTAAGTTGTTAATAATGTTCTTTTTCTGACATAGGTATTTATTGATATAAACTTCTACCTTAAAAGAACTCCTTTTGCTGAATCCCATAAGTTTTGGCATGTTGTGTGTTCACTGTCTCAAGATATTTTTTAATTTCCCTTTTATTTTTCTCTTTGAATCGTTCATTGTTAAAGGTCACGACTTTTAAATTTCCATTTATTTGGAAATTTTATGAAATTTTTAAAATTATTTATAGTATCATACCATTGAGGTCAAAAAAGATATGTAGTATAATTTTAATATTTTTAAATTTGTTAAGGCCTGTTTTGTGGCCTACCCTGCAATCTATCCCAAAGAATGTTTCATGTGCCCTTAAGAACATGTATTCTGCTAATGTTGGATGAAATGTTCTATATCCATAAGTTATATATGTCTCCATTGATATGTATATATCCATTAAAAAATCAGTTAAACTACACTTTAAAGAGACCGAACAGGTATATAGGTAGCTGATATCTATATATCTCTTTGGTCCCCTTAAAGTGTAGTTTCAGTCTGATGTTTTCCTGTAGATTTTCTTTCTGAAGAATAACCATTTTTGGAAGCTGGATAGTGAAGTTTCCTTGTATTTTCTCCATTCATATATATTAATATTTGTTTTATATATTTAGGAGCTGTGATGTTGAGTACATTTGTATTTAGAATTGTTATGTCCTCTTGATAAGTTGACCTCATTATTATATAGTGACCTTCTTTGTCTTTTACAATTTTTGATGTAGTCTACCTTATCTAGTATAGATATTTCTGCTCTTTTGGTTTCCATTTGCATGAAATCTTTTTTCATTCCTTCACTTTCAGTCTATGTGTGTGATTAAAGGTGAGGCGAGAATTTTATAAGTAGTATAGAGTTGGGACTTTTTTGTATCTATTTATCTACTTTTTATTGGAGAATTTAATCCATTTACACTCAAGGTAATTATAGATTTACTACTGTCATTTTTTAATTGTTTTCTAAATGTTGTATAGATCCTTCGTTACTTTTTCTTGATGGCTTCCTTTTGGATTAGGTAATTTTCTCTAGTGATATGCTTCGATTCCTTACCTTTTATTTTTGCGTATTTACTATAGGCTTTTGTTTTGTGGTTAGCATGATGTTTACATAAAATATTGTATATTTAAAACAGGCTAATTTAAATTGATAACTTGACTTTGATTGCATTAAAACTTTTTACCGTCACATCTTATGTTTGACATCACAATTTATATGTTCTTCTATTGTGTATCCCTTAAAAATTATTATAGCCAGCTATTATTTTTAGTAGCTTTGTCTTTTAACATTCATATTAAGAATAAAAGCAGTTTATATACCATTACATTATTATAGTATTTTGAATTTGACTTCTTAGTTTTACCAGTCATTGTTATACTTTCATATTTTTTCATGTTGCTAATTTTCTTTCAGCTTATGGAATTCCCTTTATCATTTCTTGTACAACTGATCTGATGGTGATGAATGTGCTCAGCTTTTCTTTATCTAGAGAGTTACCACAAATGTGCCAATAACATACACTGGGTAAAAGACAGTCTCTTCAATAAACAGTGCTGGGAAAACTGGATATCCATATGCAGAAGAATAAAACTAGACCCCTATCTTTTGCCATGTACAAAAATAAAATCAAAGTTGATTAAAGACTTAAATCTAAAACTTCAAAGTATAAACTACCAGTAAACATTGGCAAAAATCTCCAAGACATTGGTATGGGCAAAAAATTCTTGAACAATGTCCCAGAAGCATAGGCAACCAAAACAGAAATAGACAAATGGGATCACATCAAGTTAAAAAGCTTCTGCACAGCAAAGAATACAATCAACAAAGTGAGTCAACTCACAGAATGGAAGAAAATATTTGCAAACTACCCCTGACAAGGGATTAATAACCGGAATATATAAAGATCTCAAGAAACTCTACAAGAAAAAAATCCAATAATCTGATCAATAAGCAAAGCCTTGAATAGACATTTTTCAAAACACATACAAGTGGCAAACAGGCATATGAAAAGGTGCTGAACATCATTGATCAGAGAAATGCAAATTAAAACTACAATGAGAAATATTTCACCACAGTTAAAATGGCTTATATCCAGAAGACAGGCAATAAATTTTGTCAAGGATGTGGAGAAAAGGGAACCCTTGTACACTATTAGTGGGAATGTAAATTTGCATAACTACTACAGAGAAAAGTCTGGAGGTTCCTCAAGAAACTAAAAATAGAGCTACCATATGATCCAGCAATCCCACTGCTGGGTATATACACAAAAGAAAGGAAATCAGTATATTGAAGAGGTAGCTGCACTCCTATGTTTGTTGCAGCAGTATTTACAATAGCTAAGATTTGGAAGCAACCTAAGTGTCTCTCAACAGATGAATGGATAAAGAAAATGTGGTACATAAACACAACGAGTACTATTCAGTCATAAGAAGAATGAGATCCTGTTATTTTCAACATGGATGGAACCGGAGATCATTGTGTTAAGTGAAATAAGCCAGGCACAGAAAGACAAACATCATATTTTCTCACTTATGTGTGGGAATTAAATATCAAAACAATTGAATTCATGGGCATAGGGAGTAGAAGGATGGTTGCCAGAGGCTGGGAGGCATAGTGGGTGGCTGGGCAAGTGTTGGGGATGGTTAATGGGTAAAAAAATAGTTAGAAAGAATAATACCTACTATTTGATAGCACAACAGGGTGACTATAGTCAGAAATAATTGTACATTTTTAAATAACTAAAAGGATATAATTGAATTGTTCTTAATACAAAGGATAGTAAGCTTGAGGGGATGGATACCCCCATTGTCCGTGATTTAATTATTTTACATTGCATGTCTGCATAAAACATCCATAAATATATACACCTACTATGTACCCACAAAAACAAACTAAAACTAGAAATACAAATGATACATATTAGATGCAGATACAAATTAGATACAGATGATCTAAATAAGATAATCAACAACTTTGGCCTAATTGATATTTATAGACCACTAAACCAGATAACTGCGGAACACACATTTCTTCCAGGTGTACATGCTATGTTAAAGACAGATCATATACCTAAATGATAATGTTATGTCACCAGAAACATTACTAGCTTGGATTGAGATGGAGGCAAAATAAAAAAGTTGTTGGTCTCCCAAAATTTTACAGACAGGAAACAGGCTGATAAAACTACTCAGCTGCAAATATGCACTCTCTTTCCAGAAAAAGGAAGAACACCTTCAAGGGCAGAATCTTGGGCTTAGGCATGGAGTCTCAAACGACAGAGAGTTAATCCTAGGCTTTGAAACATAATGGAATTTTTCTAGTTAGATTTCAAAATTTCTTGAAACTGATTATTCCTTTCTTCCGTTTTCTCCCTTTAGGAACAGTAATTCCTACAATTGTTATCCCATGTCTCTCTAACCACTGTATCTTGGAGGCAGATAACTTGTCTTCTACTTTCGGAAGTCCATAGAAGAGGAATTTTCCCCCAAGATGGATGATACCCAGAGTATTGTTACATATTTGTGTTGTTTTAAGATATCGAGTTTGTCATAATTTGTTACAGTAGTCACAGTAAGGTTATTCAATATGTAATTACATTTAGAAATCAATAATAGTAATATATCCACAAACCACAAAATATTGAAAAATTAAATATGCCTCTAAATAATTTACATGTGAAAGAAAAAACCCAATGGAAATTAGAAAATGTTTCAAACTGAATAATAGACATATAAAAACTTGTGTTATACAGCTAAAGAAATGTTTCAAGGGAAATTTTCAGCTTTAATGCTTGTATTTCAAAACAAGAAAACTCTGAACTCAATGATCTAAGGTTTCACCTTAAGAAGCTAAAAAAGAAAAAGACTAAAGTAAGTGCAAGTTACTTAAAGGAAAGAATAAATAAGTGAGCAGAAAATCAAATATAAAATAAACAATCAAGAAAATTATCAAAGCCAAAATCTGGCTAATAGAAAAGCTGAAGATAATGAAGAAATATTTTGAGATATTGATTAATAAAGGAAAAAAGTACAAGATACCAACATCAGAAATACAACAGGGCTTATCAATGTAGATGTTATCGTTGTGATATAACACAATGTATGCCAATGTATTTAGCAACATAGATAAGATGAACAAATTCCTTGAAAAGTACAACTTACCAAGAAAAAGTAGCACAATATAAAACAGTCTATCAGAATAGCCCTTTATAATTACATGTGTATATGCGTAGATAGATATATACAAAGAATGACAGAGAGACAGACAGACAGGAAGAGATAGAATATGAAGAACCTTTCCACAAAGAAAACCCAAGGCACAGATCACTTCACTTGTAAATGTTATCAGATATTTAAGAAAAAAAAACAGCAATCTGATACATATTATTTTAGAAATTGAGAGGATATAATTCCCATTTATTATAAAGCTTGCATAATCCTACTACAAAACTTGACAAAAATATAAAAATTGTAATATGTACTCATGTCCCTCATGAATAGAAACAAGAAAACTATTACTAAGATACAAGCAAATGAAAGTCAGCAATATATAAACAGATAGATAATGAGGAAAAGTTAGTGGATGTGCCAGGAATGCAAGATTGGTATAGCATTCAAAAATCTATTAATGCAAATCATTATTACAAAGGAATAAAGGAGAAAAACCATATGATTAATTCAAAAGATGCAAAGATTATATATAAAACAATATCGATTTATAATTTTAAAATTATCAGCAAATTGGTAAAGAACATTTAGAGAAAACAGCTGGCATCACATATGAAGGTAAACTATTGAATACTTTCCCACAATAATTGGTAAAAAAACAAGGATGCTCATTCTTACCCCTCCTACTCAATATCACGCTGTAGGTAAAAGCCATTGAAATAAGAAACAGAGACAAAATAAAAGTTAGAAATCTGAAATAAATGAAACCGTCTATTGGCACATAATTTTGTATGTAAAATTCCTGTGTAGTATAAAAACTACTAAGCATACATAAATTAAGTAATGCCACAGGGTACAATATTAATATACAGAAGTCATTGTATTTTTATATATACTGCCAGCAGAAATTGCAGAATAAAATTTTAAAATAAATTGATTTACAATAGGTTCCAAAGAACATGCTTAACAACAAGGGTAACAAATGATGTGCAATACCTATATTCCAAACACTACAAATTTTGATAAATGAGATTTAAAAGCTAAATAGGTGGATTGATTGGAAGTTTCAATATGGTTAAGATATCAATTCTGCAAAAAGTAATCTGCAGATTCAATGCAATCCCCCAAAAAAATTTGAAATAATTGACAAACTTTAACATAAAATGTCATCTGTTATTTTAAATTCAGGGGGTACATATGCAGGTTTGTTACATGGATATATTGCGTAATGCTAGGATTTGTGATACAAATGATCCCATTACGTATGTAGTGAGTATACTAGGCGATAGGTAGTTTTTCATCCCTTGCCTGCCTCCTTCTCTCCTATCTCTACTTGTCCCCAGTGTCTATTATTCCCATCTTTATGTCCATGTGCATCTAATGCTTACTTCCTACTTATGAGTGAAAATATGTGATATTTGGTTTTTTGTTCCTGAATCAAGTCATTTAGAATAATGGCCTCTGGTTGCATCCATGTTGCTGCAAAGGGACATGATTTTTATAGCTGTGTAGTATTCCATGGTAATATATACACACACACATAAATACATATATATGTGTGTGATATATATAGATCACATTTATCACAATGATATATATATCACATATATACACGGTGTATATATTATATATGTGAGATATATACATATATATCACATTTTCCTTATTCAATCAACTAATATTAATGACCAATTAATGGTCAACTGGGTTGATACCTCGTCTTTGCTATTGTGAATAGTGCTGGGTTGAACATACACGTGCAGGTATATCTTCGGTAGAACAATGTTCCTTTTGGTATATACCCACTAATGGGATTTCTGGGTCGAATTGTAGTTCTATTTTAAGCCCTTTGAGAAATCTCCAAACTGCTTCCAACAGTGGCTGAACTAATTTACATTCCCTAAATAACCAGAGAACAACTACAAAAGCATACAGTCCCATCAGAAATAAACGTTCCCTTTACTCTTCATCAACATCTGTTATTTTTGGCTTTTTTTTTTTTTTTTTTTTTTGAGACGAGTCTCCCTCTGTCGCCCAGGCTGTAGCGCACTGTCGCGATCTCGGCTCACTGCAAGCTCCGCCTCCCAGGTTCATGCCATTCTCCTGCCTCAGCCTCCCAAGTAGCTGGGACTACAGGCGCCCACCACCACGACCGGCTAATTTTTTTTTTTTATTTTTAGTAGAGACGGGTTTCACTGTGTTAGCCAGGATGGTCTCGATCTCCTGACCTCGTGATCCGCCCGTCTCAGCCTCCCAAAGTGCTGGGATTACAGGCGTGAGCCACTGTGCCTGGCCTATTTTTGGCTTTTTATCGTTGTGGTTTTGTTTTGCATTCCTCTGATTAATAATGTTAAGTATTTTTTCATATGTTTGTTGGCCATTTATATGTCTTCTTTTAAGTGTCTGTTCATGTGTGTTGCCCACTTTTCAATAGGTATGTTTTGCTTGTTGAATTGTTTAGGTTCCCTGTGGATTCTGGATATTAGACCTTCATAATAAGAGTCATCTATGACAAACCCACAACCAACAGCATACTTAACATAAGCCTGAAGCATTCTCCTTAAGAACTCTAACAAGACAATAATGCCTACTCTTACCACTGCTATTCAACATAGTATTGGAAGTCCTAGCCAGAGCAATCAGGCAAGATAAAGAAATAAAAGGCATCCAAACAGGAAAAGAAGTCAATTTATCTCTCTTCATTGATACTATGATTCTGTACATATTCAAATATTTTTACGAAATATATCAAAATTTAGATACAGAATATCAAAAGCAACATTAAATAACGATATTGGAAAATTTGTATTACCTGATTCCAAGACTTAGAAACTCTAGAAATAGAATATTTCTATTGTCATTTGATTTTTTTAAAGTCACCAAAGTTATCCAACGAGAAAAGAGAATTTCCACAAATGATGCAGAGAAAACAGTATACCCATGTGAAGAAAATGAGCCTTGACTCCTACCTCACATCACACAGAAAATTATTGCAAGATAGACTATAGTTCTAAACCTAATACATAAGGCTTTTAGAATAAAACCTTAAAGAATATTTTCACGAGTCAGAAATATATAAACATTTCTTAGAAATGCACAGAAAACAATAACTATGAAAGTAAAAAATTGATAAACTCATTAAAAATGCCTGGTCATAAAATGATATTAAATGAATAATTAAGTAACAGGGAGAAAATATTCCATAACATACATCCAAAAAAGCAATTGTGTAATATATAAAATATTTCTACAACTGAATAAAAAAGATTAATAATCCAGTAAAAAATTAACAAAATGGATAAAGATATACAAACAACCAATGATCACACGGAAAAAAAAGTACTCAAATTATTACTAGGGAAATGAAAATTATAATCACTACGAAATGCCACTACATTCCCACCAGAATACACAAAGTTAAAAAGACTGATAAAACTACATATTCTGGGGATTCTTGGGCAACTGAAACTCACACACATTGTTAGTGGAAAGATTTTAAAAGACAAATTTTTTGAAAATAAGTCTGCCAGTTTCTTATAAAATTAAACATGTGCCAGTGATGTGACCAACACTCCTACTTATAGATATTTTTCCAATAAAAATTAAAACATACATTCGCAAAAAAAGACTTGTACAAAAATGGTCAAAGAAGCTGTATTTATAGCAGCACAAACTTGAAACATTTCAAGTGTCCATGAATAGGAGTATATATAAATGCTGATATATTCATGCAATGGTCTATTTCTCAACATTAAAAGGAAATAGATTGCAAATGCACATATCAACATGAATTAATCTCAAGAAGATAAAAGAAGCTTGACACAAACAATTTTATATTGTATTATTACATACATATGAAATTATAGAACAAGCAAAATAATCTATTGTGCAAACAAGCCAGAACAATGATTGCCTCTGGGGGTATTGACAGTGCCAATACCAAGAAAGAGCATAAAGAAATTTTCTGTGATAATAGGAATGTTGTATATATTCATGGGAGTTTGGATTACACAGGTGTATTCATTTGTCGAAACTCTGTAAATATAAACAACATTCAGGCATTTCGTTGCATGTAAATATTACTCAAAAGGATAAAAACTAAAGTATTGAACTCTAGTTAATGATATGCATGCTGATTGCTGATGGTACTAAATGGTAATAAATGGTAAACAAATGGTAACTATATTAATATAGTTAATATAGTTACTTTGAGATACACAAAAATAATTGATGCATCAAAGGATGGATAAATTTATGGATAAATGGATACTTTTGCAACAAAAGGATCATAGTAGAATGTTAATGGTAGAATCTTGGGCATGGATATTTACAGTAAAATTCCCTCAGCTTTGCTGTGTATTTGAAAGTTTTCATAATAAAATGTTAGAAAATACTTGGAATATTATCTTCTCTGAAAATTCCCCTTTGCTTTTAAACAGTTAATACTCCCTTCTCTTGCCCCCAAACAGCTAATCTTCTCATTCCTCCCATAATAGGTTAATTTGACCTACTCTAGACCTTTGTATAAATGGAGTCATACAGTATGTATTTTATTGTGTCTAGCTTCTCTTACTCAATATGCTGATTTTCATTGGTGGGTAATAGTCCACTTTATTATATCACAGAATTATTAACTTATTGATAGTAATTTGCATTGTTCCAGTTTCTGATTATTATAAATATAATTCTGGCAGGGTAATGATTCCCCAGTATTTCTAATATACAGGAAGAATTGAAAACCACTGGACTATGTGATTATTAAGATTATTTCTCATTAGAAAACTTGGTATTATGGCTGTCATGGGAAGGATGAAAAAAAGATAATCAGCACTATAGTTATAGTTCTACTTCTGAGATACAGATGTCTCACAATCAATTAATACCTATCTAATTGGTGCTCACTTCCTAATTAGAACCAATTAAATTAAGCAAATAAACGGACTCAAAGTCCCATATGTGTCAGATTTTAATAGATTTTTAAAACATAGTTTGCTTAAAGTAAATGTGAGAAAAAATATGCCTAGTGTAAGGCTAATTACGTAAGTTTAACACTATAAAGGTGTTTCTAATAATTATAACCTTGTTTGTGTGAAGTAGGAATGCAGTCTACATAAACAGAGAGGGGTTTCTGGGCAGCATGATTAAAAGAGTTGGTTGGGAAAATTATTCTTTGTTTTAGTCTCAATTTTAGCCAGCTCTTTTATTTGAATAAAACTAATAATAAGCAAAATAAAGGCTACTCTCATGAGTTTGAGGAAACAAGTAAAATCACTACGACCAAATAAAAAAGCAGTTCTTATTGTGATGACATCCTGTCAGTGATTCTCTGAACTTATAATGATTGCTGTTTTTTTTTAAATCTCAGTATCAAAGTGAGTAACATTTGGAAGAACAGAATACTCTGTCACTATAAAAGACTGATTTTTTAAATTACCTAGACACAAAAAAATTAAATGAATCTTTAAAACAAAAGGTAAGTAAAAAACACATTCCCCTAAGTACTACATATAGTATAACGATAATATTTCATAAAGTTACAAGCAACTGTTAAATCAAATTTGGCCTGAGTCAGCCTACACCCCTTGAGCCCCTATGTAGAAAACTGCAACCTAATTGTATCAGTCCATTCTCACACTGCTGTAAAGATACTACCTGAGACTGGGTAATTTATAAAGGAAAGAGGTTTAATTTACTCACAGTTCCACATGGCTGGGGAGGCCGGAGGAAACTTGCAATCATGGCAGAAAGCGAAGAAGCAGCAAGAATCTCCTTCACAACGCGGTAGGAAACAGAAAAGCCCGTCGGGGACTGCTGTTTATAAAACCATCAGATCTCGTGAGAACTCACTATCACGAGAACAGCTTCGGGGAAACCACTCCCCAGGATCCAATCACCTCCCACAAGGTCCCTCCCTCCACAGGTGGGAATTATGGAGATAACAATTTGAGATGAGATTTGAGTGGGAACACAGCCAAACCATAAAGAAACTGAAACCTAATTTAGAAGTATAACAAACAGCCAAGTTTCATCCAATCACAAGCAGCTATGTTTCATCCAATCACAAGCAACCAGCTCGTTACACCACACTCAAAAGGCCAGATGCCTACTTGCAGCTAATCAGGTGGTTTCTGTAATTTGCGTCTGTATTTGGCCTGTTAAAGCGCACTCCTCATATTGCTGAGCAGAGCTCTCTAAACCTCTTCTGGTTCTCAGTACTGTTCAATTCATGGGTTGTTCTTTGCTCTAATAGATTCTGTTATATTTAATTTGTCTAAAGTTTTTTTTAAACATAACTACAACCAAAGAATATACATTTAAGGATGTATATTGGTAAATGACTATATAAAAACGAGAAGTAGTGTATTTAGAGTGCTGATTGCCTTGAGTAGCCAGAGGCAGGTGAATGGAATGGAGGGAGAAAATTAGAGATAATTGTCAAGTTCTAGTTTTCATTTATAGGAGTGACTTCATCATTGCTCAGTGCATTTTTAACAATAAATAAGTAAATAAATCTCTACTTAAACAAAAACAGAGTATGTGTGAACCAATGATGAGACTCTTTCATTAACCAAAAATTATAAATTATCCACTTGTGTATACCTGCACTTAAAAAAACCAAAAACTAAAAAACAAATCAAAGAATCAAAAACCTGTCACAGTACTTAAAATTCCTGATCAATGAGAGACCATGTAACCATATGTTGCTATGTTGCATATGGGAAAAAAATATTTCAAATGTCTCAAGCCAGAATTTTGAGAATGTTCTTTTGTAAAGAACTCACAACTCTGAAAGAACCTAACCATCACATACCTAGCCAGATCTTTTGCTTTAAAAGTGAAATCCTGCTGAACATGTAATAAGTTATGAAACACAATTACCTATTAAAGTGTAGAAATGGCCTAATAAAAAAGATAGGTAAGAGACTAACACCCCAAAAGAAAAATAGGCAAAAGTTATAAGTAAGGAAATCACAGTGTAAGAAAACTTATTAATGAATAAACATGGTGGTAAATACATAGTCTCATTCATAATATTTGCTTTAAAAACAAATAAATGCAACATTGAGATTTATCGTTTATAACTCAGATTTGAAAAGGTTTTAAAGACTGAGCACACCCACTGCTCAAAAAAATCTGTGGAAACCAGCACAATAAAATCTGCTGGTGAGAGTGTGAATTAAAGCTGCTTTTTGGGAAAGCAAGTTGGGGATATGTATCCAAAAATAAAATATGTATATCATTGGGGGAAAAGGTCAAAGCCTGCTGTTTCAATATAATTCTTTGTATTTTGAGGGTGCTAACATGTCAACCATGCACATTTCTTCCTTCACATTTATTGGTCATGACTTTATATGCATAGATCAGATGAGAATGTTCAATTTTTCCAGATAAGAATTCAAACAATAATGAAAAGTAAAGGCTACATTTTATAACATGATGTTTAGCTTACAAATAATACTCCATAGAATGTTAAAAAAGTGTGAGTGCCGCTGAATAAATAGGTAAATGTGGTTCATGGAAAGACAATGGTTTATTTTTATCCTCAGGTCAGTAGAATTTAATCAAGAGTCTGAACCAGTTTTGTACATTAATAAAGCCATCCACCAAAGGATGTTAGTTGTGAAGTATTTACACAGAGGAAAACAACTAAATAAAAATTTACCATCAATGCTTTTAGCTTAAGTGAGCTTTCAACTTGGAGGTCATGAAATGATTATCCTGTAAGAATAAAGTCTTCCATGATTAGTATATTGCTTATTACTCAAAGATAAATTTTCTAATTACAGCAGGATCCAAAGTAAATTTAAACCTTTTGCTGAGCTTAAAAGAATGGAAGGTCTTCTGAGTTGAAATAAATGAAAATTAATTACCTTAGTAAATATAAATAGGTGAATATGAATAGGTGACTTCATTCAGTTAAGGCAAAACAAACTCTTACCACAGTGATTCTGACATTGCAATTCCAATTGAAAAATAAGTAGTCAGTCCCCAGCTTTTAATTTTTTTCCCCAACACAAGCACACTGCCCTAACAGTGCTTCTAACTCACACTGAAGCTTATAAATACTTCTCAAATAGCTACATAATCTACATTAGAGAGGACAGTTCCCAAGTAAGAGAAGATGTTTGGAGGGTTAAAAACATTCTGCTGGAGTAAATAAAATGTATGTAAAGTAAGGTTAAAAGCAAGAGGGTTCCCAGATATATTAAGAAAAAAACACTTTAGAACATAGAAAATCTTCACAAGATTCTCCTCTGAAGAGACATGTAGAATAAGAATGAACCCTCAAGAGATACAAAGGAATAAAAATAATACAATAACCACAACAAAATTTGTGTTACTATGCTTCAAAATTTGCATCATTTTTAATACATTATCTTTTCTCATACTTACAGCAACCTTGTAAAATACATATTACTAAGCTTGTGTTATATTTGAGATAACAGAGAATTAGAAGGTATATTTCTTACCCAAGGCAACTGGTATACCTGGAGTGAGCAAGCCAATCCAAGATATTCATTTTTCATTTATCCTATTAGGTTCTGAGTTTCATGGACCTCATGGTACAATGTATACCCTTGTGTTCATTAGGCTGAAAACTTCTATATGCTTTAGTGACTTCACAGTCAATAGTATAGCATGATGCTTTTGTATCTGATTTGGCTCTGGTTCCTACTGAGACTTGATCTAGTTAATATCCTAGAAGAGGCTTCCCTATATTCTTATTATTCCTGTTAGGGTCCCGTTAAATTTATGCCCATCCCTGCCAACCACCACTACTACCCTTGGTTATTACGCAAACATTGTTCTGACATGTTCTGCTATAGCCTGAACAACTCTACCATCCTGCCATATCCACTGTTGGAATGCTAACTATTAACATCCAGATAGAATGTGAGTTGCCCATACTCTCTTGAACATTTTTCTTTGGATTTACATTAATCTCCAAATAAGCCATATCCAAATTCAAGCTAATGCATCTGTGTTTCCAAGACTTTTCATGTCCCAGTTTAGATAAAGATTCTATTTGCTTGAATATTTGAGTTGAGTCCCATGTAGTTTTGCAACTGAATAGCAAATAAGCTAATATTTATTGAGTGCTGACAATGTACTAGACATTGTACTTTTCATGTTTCTCTCATTCCATAAATACAAAATTCTATGTCTAGGCATTAAGTAGTATGCCCATTTTATAAATGAGAACACAGAGGCAAAAAGAGGTAAAGATTCTTGCTAAAAGACAATAGTTAAAGTCAGGATTTCAATCCAAGCATTCTGGTTTTTTAAGTCTGACCTGTAAACCCTGCATTATATTCCTTCACAGAGTGAAATTATGTGATTTTGACTAAAGCTATCAACAGTGAGGCTATTTCCTCAAGGGAAGAGTGTTCACCTCTACAATAATCATTGGATATTTCATCATTGGATATCATTGGATATTTTAAGAGTCAAAGGGTTGGATCAGGCAAAAAAAAAAAGAAGAAGAAAAAAAAGAAAAGTATGTTCCCCATTTAATTAACCTTGCCTTCTCCAGTCAATCCAAAGCAAAACCAAACATGGCAGTTTCTATCTGTTCTCTTGTGATTGCCTTGACCTTGCACTCATTATAAGATTAGAAGTGACAACAGCATTGTAGCGTCACTGGATGTCACCTTTCACTTCTTTGATCCAATCCATGTTCTTCTCATCACTACCTACCCATCCCTCAAAACCTAGCTCTGGTGTCACTGTCCCCAGGAAGCCTCACTTGAGCCCATAAACTTTCCTAAGTGCCTTTCTCATAAATGACTATGACTTCTATATTTTGGCATAGTCTGTTCTGCCTTGCCGTAAAATCAATGTGTGCCTCTCTGCTCTGAAACTGAGAGTTCTTTGGAATATTGCTCTGCTTGAGACTGTCACAGCACATAGTGTCTAATACTTTGCAAGAACATGAAAACCTCTAACCTCTGAATTTTTGTAGTTGGGCATTAAGTAGCTATGTTTATTGAGTATAATCCCCTTTATGAAACCAGAAATGTAAAAGCCTACAACTAGTAAATTCACAGTTACAATTATAGCTTTGATCTTGGAAAAATTACAATGTGCTCTAGTCCTCAATTTTCTCATCTGTAAAATGTGATCATTCATGGGACTCTTGTAAGAATTAAATAAGTTCCTTATAAGATATAAGCATTTATATAATAATTTCTATAATGTTATGATTTGTTTTTGAAAATTGAGCAAGAAGGAATATCATTTCTGGCTCTGGTTTGCAACAGCAACACTGGAAAAGATGAAGTAAACTATACTTTCTTTATTATTCTCCTCTATTCATTCTGAAACCAAGCCAGAATAAGTCAGTAGGAATTATGGAATAAAGAAGAAAAAGATGAAGGAGAAAAAATGACACAAAGACCTCTTCTCAGTTAAAGTGAGTAGGTTTTCCTATTTTTCAATAAATATTTTATTTCCTTATTCAAGTTTGATGTAGTGCTATGGTTTCATAATCTTAGGATTCATTTTGAACACTGTGAGAATCTGATTTGCAATACTTCAAAGATATCTTCCCCTTCTGTGACCATTTGCCACAAATTTTGCAATGATTTACAAGACAAGATGTTTTACTATCTTGTTGTGCCATTGAAACACAATTTGAACTACCAGAGGGGATCTCAAACATTCCCTAAGTCATAGAATGGAATTTTGGACACAGAACTTTCCCATAAACAAAAGAAGCCAAGTTATATGATGAGAGACATTTTTCTGAATTGTGAAAGAACCAGAAGTTAGTTGTCATGTCAAATAATTAATTTATTCATTAACTTCCCCTAATTTAAAATTCAATAATCTTGTTATCCCAAATAGGATCAGTTCTCATCAATTCATTTATTACAGAACAATTTAGATTTTCATTAGTTTAGAGCTACTTTTCTTCCCTTCTATCAACTTAAAATATTTTTTAAAATGGTGTGAATTGTTTAACGCTGATTCCATTGGCCAACAACAATATAACTTTCTTGAATAGACTATCAGAGAAAAGGTACAATGTATGGTTCAATGTCATTTTTCAATGAAATAAAGAGCTGAACTGAAAATAAGTAAAATAGATGTCAGACATGGTGGAGGCCAAGCAGATACTCTGGATGAAACGGAGAAGAAGACCCCTGTAGCTGCAGATTTGAGAACAAACCAGAAATGTTCATTTTCTTACATGCAAATCAAAATTTTTGGTTTGCAAACAGTTGGAAGGAGGTAAACAGTGTAAGGACAAAAACTTTCCTGGACTCATTTGGTCTTCCTCCTGAAATGCTAAGATTCTTGAAGGCAAGGAAAGTGTGGCGGTTCACTGTCATATTCCAAGTGCCTGGAACTATACCTGACATTTAATATATTCTCAAAACAATTTTAATAAATGCCAGATGCAAGAAAATGTGATAAACAAAATTACTTCAAATCAATACATAAAAAATAAAGAATTATATGTAAGGACAATATTAAGAGAGATTTATTTGAAAGGCAGTTTTGTGGAGAAGTTAATGTAGCAACCACCTGACTGGGCCTACTGTGAAGTGGGAAGAAATGATAGGGAAATAAGCCAAGTTAGTATTCAGTATTTGATGCCAGTGAATTAATGTATATGAAGTTTCACAGATAATCCCCTAAATCCTATACCGTAAGATAGCAATAATATGAATGATTAAGTACTATTGTATCATTCTGCAGCTACAAAAAATATATAAATCTTGCGATTATGGAAAAATTATAATAAGAAAATGGCTTACTTTAAATTTCTTTGACTAAAATAAACTTATGAATTCCATGCATGAGAATATCCCATGCTCTCTGATTTGCAGCAGCAGTTGAGCGAAAAGGGCTATTTATATGTGTATATAAACTTCAATTGCAAATATTTAAACCACAGATCTAAATAGTGCATAAGTATTTGCTATATTAATTGGATAATCAAGTAATTAATTAAATTACAATTATCTACCCGAGCTCTTCCTAAGTGTCCAGGACTCAAAAAAAAAAAAAAAAAAAAAAAAAAAAGGTATGGTCCTTCCCTTAAATCATAGGAAAATGTAACTCAGTGCTGTGGAAGAAGCCTGCTATTACCTCCCACAGAAGATCCATTTAAAGTAGTTGGGGAATTTATTAATATAATGCTAAAAGCAGAGTATTAAAAGATAAGTGAGAGTTAACCATATGAAAAGGGTAATTCAGACACAGGAAATATAATATGCAAAGTGTGAAGAGCCGGAGAAAGCACAGGAGCCCTGAGAAACTGCAAGAGATTTGATAGGGTCACCATCAAGAAGGGTTTTAACACGGTAAGTTTATCTCGAAACTACTGTTGAAGTCAATTGTGCTATAAGGATCAAAGTCATGGAGAGAAAAGTTAAAATTCAGATTAACTTTGACTTCATAGAAACTCTCTTTAGGATGATGTTGCATACTTCAAATAGATTAGGAGAAAGGAAATACATGTGTTCAAGCCACGTATGTTCTACATACACTCACAAATACAATCCACCAGATAAACACGTTTAAGTTTACTTGTTAAAAAAAAAAGAAGGAAAACTTTCTTAGTCACTAATGCACCCAATATGTTTGATATATTTATATTACATATAATA
Source organism: Homo sapiens (assembly GCF_000001405.40). Lineage (NCBI taxonomy): Eukaryota > Metazoa > Chordata > Mammalia > Primates > Hominidae > Homo > Homo sapiens. The sequence goes on along the minus strand of NC_000006.12, from coordinate 119,998,893 downwards.
ATATTTATATTTCAAGGTGAGGTGAAAACATTCATTCGAGATTGGAAAATGATGACCACATTGGTGGCTAAGTAATAAAAACAGTTTTGAGTTGACATTAACTGTGCAGATACTGGAGCTGGGATTTAATTGGGAAGTCATGATAACAGGAATAAATTTACCCTCTATACATGTGTTTTCTTCCATGTTTAGAGAAATAAGGTTCCTAGCTTATTAGCATGGACTCAATTGTTTCAAGGCCCCAGTCACTGGCAAAATAAATGATTGCCCCCTTTGTCATTATTAGTAAAGGGCACTAGAAAAGGTACAGGAATCATTTAATGAGCTTGGACTAAAATTTTGAAATTGTTTAATGTTTCTAAAGTTTAGTTTACCTGACTGCAATTGGTAATTCTTCTTAAACTTTATAATATAAATCTATCCATATGGAGCAATCTAGCTTATACAAATTCCTAACATATCTGAAAATTTATTCTTAATATTGACCATATTTTCATCAAAAACTATCTGGTAGAATCCATCTGCCCAGCCAGGAGTCCTACATCATCTGAAATCATTTTTAATATCTTCTTTTAGTGGAACATCTTTTTTTTAAAAAAGTAGCAATTTTTGTAATTCCCTTAAAGAGTATACTATATAATATGTAAAATGTTTCATTAGGCCTCTGAAAAGTGATATAAATACAGAGTATTTTGCAAAGCTGTGATTTTTTTCTCTTTAATGTTTTGGAAGTCCCAATGAGACTGTTTCCTACTTGCGTAACATGCCACATATGTAATATTTCTTACTTTGACTCTATTAACTTTTACTTAAAAACATGCCACAATATAGTTTCTTCTATTGTTGTTTGTTTTACACAGGTTTTTCTAAGTCATAAGTAATAGCTAATCATCAAATTAGAGCTTGAAAGAGAAACAAATCAACACGTTTCCTATTAATATGTCAACACTGAGGCTACAAGTTTACCGAAAGACATCGAATTGAAGTCAGAATATGCACATTACCAATGCCTTGTATCTTATTTACAAAATGACCTTATAACCACCTTGCAATTACTCTTCAATTCAGAAAAGCAGGCCATAACCATATAGGTTGAGTGGCATAACATGGAAGGAGTGAAAATCATACAATTCATACAATGTGTTTTTTCATGTAAATTACCTTACGCCAAATGCTGGTTATTAATATTGCGGAAATTCAAGAAGACAGCTGGAATAGCACAGGGAGAAACTCACAACAGCACAGTGCAATCTATCTAAGATAGGCTATATTTGCAATAGATAAACTAAATATAATCTGCTATAAAATAACATCTATTGTAGATAGGAGCATTATCAGAAAAGCTGTTGCATTCATATTATTCTAGAAAGATTCACAAAAACTAAAGGGATGTCAAATGCCTATAATTCTGCCCAAACCAGATTATCATACATTATAACTTTTAGGTACATAAATGAACATTTCCTTTAAAGTCAGGGAAATTCTTTAGTAACAGTAACTAATTTAGAATTGTCTAAATTTTTTGAATAAGAGTTCTAAAGATTACGAAAAACAAAAAGAGTGAAAAGTGGGAAGAATAAGGAGGATATCTCTATAACTTCTATGTTTTAACAAACTATTCCATCTACAAAACACATGACAATATGCCCAAGTAACTGATTAAAGAATAGTATCATGCCTACTTGACTTTTGTACCAGTAAAAAAAAAAGACAACATCATCTTTGGACGGTTCTCTGTAATAAATCAGTCTCTTCTCTCTTATTTATTCTGATTCACCAAGATAAACATATGAAGAAAACAGTATGAATAAAATGAATAAATGCATGAATAAAATGTTTTATTTAATTGGCCCCTTCAGTAGAGAATTTATAACATATTCAGATATGTTTCTATTCTGCTGAGACACACTAGTACTGTCTATAAGTTTTAAAGATTGTTATATTTTTATTGTGAAATTCAGTAGTTAAGATTTAAAAAAAATAGCAATCAACTAATTATAAGGAAAATAAAAGGCAAGGATTAAGCATACTTTTTTAAACACTCATTTCAAAACAATGATTGTAAACTATTTAAAAATATATTTAAAGTCCCTGTTCATATAACATTAGGAAAGCACATTTTATAACTTGAGTATAATTAAATTATTTCACTAAAAATTATTTTGAATATATGCTATTTCATATTAAAGGCTAGAAAAGGCAGCCAAAATGACAAATCCCTTATTATGGTCTACTTGTTAGCATAAACACATAAATGAAAACCATGTACAGATATCAAAGATTTGCTTTAACATTAGAGTGAGTAGTTTTCATAGCATTCAAAAAAAAAAAAAAAGAATGTGTTGTGAGTTACAAGTTCAGGCAAGGTGAAATGCAATAAAGTTATTTTCAAGATCCAAGGAAATCTGTAACACTTAAAGATTACTTTTTCACAAGGTGAGTAATTTCTGTTTGGTTTTTATAATTTCTCTAACACTTCAGAAGATGTGTAGGTCCATATTCCCTCATGGCCATTCTGATTTAGACACCTTGCAATTTTGAGCTCTCTCGTAGAAACACATATGCAAAGGACATACCTTAAAGCCTTGTTAGAATAAACTCATCTTATTTCAATCTGTAATGTCATCGAAAGGTTAATTTGAAAAGTGACTTCATTTTAATTGCTATAGCTATTAAGTCCAACTAAATGTTTAGGAGAGTTTGTCCTAGAACACCTAATTTATGAAAAATCTAAAATCTCAATTTAAAAATCAAACACAAGTAAAACTCAAACATATCTCTTGTTTTTCTCCACTCCACTTGTCATATTTAAAATTATTACAATTCCATTAACATCAAACAATCTCAGAGTGTATGAGGTAAAGTTTAAATGTCAGCTTCACTATTCCTCAATACATTCTTTTCTGTTCATCAGATAAAATATTTGAATAACCATCCAGGCCTTTTCTCTATGCAGTTTAGTAAATATTCTATACACATCATCATATGGATTTTTTAAACAAAAAAATCATACTATAAATATCTTTTGCAAATTAAAATCTGTATATATATTCCTTCATGGAACAAAAATTCATGAATATACTGCCACATTATCACAAATCTACTTCATTTTTTGTAAAGGGCACAGGATATTCCCTAAAGCAGATGTACCATGGTTCAATCAAACATTCTTCTACGGATGAACATGTTCATGGCTTTTAAAAATTTCTCTTGCCCAGGTGCAGTGGCTCACATCTCTAATCCCAGCATTTGGGAGGCAGAGGCGGGAGGATCACTTGAGATCAGGAGCTGGAGACCAGCCTGGCCAACTTGGTGAAACCCCGTCTCTATTAAAAATACAGAAATTAGCCAGGCGTGGTGACAGGCACCTGTAATCCCAACTACTCAGGAGGCTGAGGCAGGAGTTTCACTTGAAACCAGGAGGCAGAGGTTGCAGTGAGCTGAGATTGTGCCATTGCACTCCAGCCTGGGTGACAATAGTGAGACACTGTCTTTATTGAAAAAAAAAAAATTTCTTAAAATGTGTTACCCTGATACTCTTTTACAGATCATAGTTGGGCACATGTACAAACTTTTCTTTTGTTTGAATACTTTGAAAGGAATTTCTAATAAAAGGTTATGTCTATTTAAAATTTAGTTATGCATAAGTAGACCTCAAAAAATGATTTATTTTCCTGTCTTAATTTCCATTCATGTTCAATACTAAATATCATCCATCCTTTAATTTTTCCAATATAATATGTAACAAATAGTATTGATTGATGTAAAACAATTCCTTTTTCACTCATTTTCAATGAGTCTGAGCATTTTTCAGGTACTTATTGGCCATTTGTGTGGCCTACCATAAATTTTTCATTAAGATGCTCTGCATGCTTTGCTCTTACATTGTTTGGGGATTTTGTATAGAAAGGAATTCATATATAATGGATGATAATTTATTTATTTAATAAATATTCTACAGATATTTATTCCAAATCTGCATCTTATATTCCATCTTTTATATTTTACTATACTGATTTAAAATTTTATATTGCCAAATCCAAAGTTTACAGTTCTAAAAATTAAGTAATAAGCCTATATGTCTATCATTATAAAACTATTTTCTCATATTCCAATCAAGCACTGTCATATCTTTTCTATATTTAAGACACTTGAGCATCTTCAATTTTTGGTATAGGGTTAAGTTGGGGTTTAACATTATTTTTGATACAAATCAATAACTAACTTTTCAAAAAGCACTTATTTAATAGCTTGTATTTTCTCATCTTAGCCACTTTAAAATCTCAATTTTCTTTAGCGTGATTCGACCCCATCTTTATAATGTATTTACATTTCCTTCTCAATTGCATCCTTATTTGCACCTTAATTTATTTTCCAATCTTCCAGAATCAAAAGTTTCTCCCCAATTAAGTAGGACCAGTAGTGAGGGTGAAAAGCAGACACATACAAAATCCACTGTTTTAAATTCAATCTCTGGGATAAAATGTCAATGAATTTACATGTCCATAAAATCACGATGTACATTTACATTCAATTATATAAATGGAAGATATGTGAAATGGAAGATACGTGTAAAGTATGCCCAGTCACTATTGCTCTACAGACGAACTCTGAAAATAGCTATTGATATTTTCCAAAAAGTCAAAATTAATATTTGTCATTACAGGTTTTTAAACAACAAATTTTAAAAGGAAATGGGGAAAGCAAGCCAACAATCAATTCAATATGCTTGTGCATCCCACTGCTGTGAAGAAACAGTCATCATTCTGCAGCATGAGTAAACTCCTCATCCTGCTTCTACCAGAGGGCATTATTGGGCCCCGACAGTGAACATTAAAAGAAAGGCGGATTGCAGGCTAGAAAATTAACAAGAGGAAATGAGAGAGAAGGAAAACATTGTTCTAATCATTCTTTGAGTCCTTATAATTATGAAGTTAAATCATTCCTTGAGGGTTATTATGGTGATAGCTGTATAATGAAGAGGGGGCTGGCAGATTAGGATAAGATATGTTATTTCTAAGATTGTATATAAAGTAAATTTAGAAAAAAGCAGCAAGAAAGTTATTTGTTTTATAGAAAAACATCATTTTGATTTTAGTCAAGCAATTCAACAGTATTTCTTAAAAGGAAAGTGAAAACTTGAAGCCCTTTCCAAAGCAATGTAAAGCAGATACAGAGGATTGAACATGTTATTGTTTTGGTCATTGTTAGTGGAATTGAACTTTTGAAGATGCATTTTCCAGATGTTTGTTATTATTGTTGTTGTTATTATAATTAAAACAAACTGTCTTTGGCATTGCTGTTCATATTTAGAGCAGTTTAACCTTACTTTCAAATCCTACATTTATAGTTCCTATGATTAAGAAATTTAGTTATAAAAGAAATCTATTTACTCTTAAAATTAAGTTTGAGATCTTATCCAAATTCTGTGTGCTACCACCCCACTTCTTAAACTCATTTGCATAAATATATAAATAAATATCTATCATTATTTTTAAAAAATAAATGTTGAGGCAAAATTCACATAAGCACAAAACAAACCATTTTAGAGAGAATAATTCAGTGCATTTAGTACACTCTCAAGGCTCTGCAACCAACTTCAGTTCCAAAGCATTTCTATCACTGTAAAGTAACCCTTACCCACTAAGCAGTTTCTTCTCATTCCCCACTTCCCTTATTCCCTAGAAAACACCAGTCTACAATGTCTATATGGAACGATCTATTGTGAGTATTTTATGAATGGAATCATATACATGGGACATTTTGTGTCTAACTTCCTTCTTTGGCATAATATTTGGGGAGTTCATCCACAGTGTGGGTATATCAGTATTTCATTCACTTTTATATCAAAATAATATTCCATTGTATGTATATGCAGTGCCATAATTTGTTTATGTATTCATCTGTTGATGGAAATTTTGGCCGTTTTCACCTTTTGGCTATTATGGCTTATTCTGCTATGCACAGGCGTGTACATATACTTGTTTGAATACTCGTTTTCAAAATTCTTTTTGGTTTGTACCTAGGGATGGAATTGCAGAGTTATATGGGAATTCTATTTTTAACTTCTCGAAGAACCACAAAACTGTTTTCCACAGAGATTGAACTATTTCCATCAGCAATATATGAGGGTTCTAATTTTTCCACATTTTCATCAACACTTGTTATCCCCCCACCTTTTTTTAATTATATTCTTCCTAGTGGGTATGAAATGGTACCTCATTGTGGCTTTTCTCTCATTTTCTCTTGTTAGTTCTCTAGCCTACAGTTCACTTTAGCAAATTAGTCCTTTGCTCAATCATATAATAGGGGATCATTTATGTATAACTTCCTTTATTAGCATAATATTTAGGAGGTTCATCCACAATGTGGTGTATATCAGTATTTCATTCACTTTTATGTCCAAATAATATTCTGCCATAAAAAGAATAAAATTCTGTCATCCTTGGCAAAACAGATGAGATTGGAAAACATTATGTTAAGGGGAATAAGCCAGGCATGGGAAGATGAATACCACATGTTCTTACTCATATGTGGAAGCTAAAATTTGATCACATAGTGGTAGAGAGTAGAATGGTGGTTGCTAGAGGCTGCAAAGGGTAGGGAGGTAGGGAGAGCTTAGTTAACAGATGTAAAATTAAAGCTAGAAGTAGTAAGTTCTAGTGGTCTACAGCACTACATTCCAACATTTGAATTTTGGAAAGGCACATGCATGAAAACCATAGCAGCTATTAATAAAATGAGTATTCTAAGCATACTTTAAGTGGCATCATGAATCCAAAGTGCTTATTAATATATCAAGGGTGAGCCATTCCCTATATTCTATCTTTCCCCAAAGTTGCATTTCTATTATAATATTATCTGGAAACATTCTGGCTTCCAAGTTGATTCAGCGACTCTTCTGAAGAGTTTTGAAAATAACCTCTAATTTACCTGTTTTATTTTTCTTTATTAAACATTTAGTTACACATGCAAGCCCAAATAGCACAGAAATTGAAAGTTTTCACTTTTAGTTCGTCTATTTATTTATTCATCTAAAAATAGTTTAAATGTCTTATAGGGGCTAGGTACCATTTGAGGCATTTAGATTCAAAAAGAATCCAACACAATCCTATGCCTTAGGGAGCTCACAGTCTAAGGAGATAATCACACAAGTAAAATCACAGTTATGGTATTCTACATTAAGTGCTAAGATCACCATAAACTCAACACATTATAAAAGAAGAGAAAGAATAATAAATTAGATAGGAGGAGTTGTGAAAGTTTTCCAGATAGAAGGGGATCTTTAAATCTTGTAGAACAAATAAAGCAGGGTAGTAAAACTGAAATTCTTTCCATGCATATGATGCCTTTGTTGCCCAAGAATGTTTAATCGACTCTTTCTCATCAGCTACCACAACACATAACCTTTTATCCCAGCTCTTGTCCACCGTCCTGAGACTTCCATTGATGGCAGCCATAGTGCCACATTCTCATCCAGAACACAAGATGATAAAATTTGAACATCATCTAAAGGGTCACAGTTGTTCTTATTAATTAATTAACTGGAAGCTTCAAGAATACGCAGACGTCCACCAAAGTCGATGCTATCTTTTTAAAAAATTATGTAGTGTTTTGGCACTGATAACAAATGACAAATGGATATAAAGTTAAGGCTAACTGTAGATCCCTGGCAGTGATATATTAAGATAAAAAACAGCATGACCTAGACCAATTTCTCAAGGACAAATTTCAATTTAATAAAGCTAGTCAGTATTACCAAGAAAAATTAATTATTGGGTTATAATCTTAAAATTATGTATTTAATAGAAATTCAAATAGAAAATTTTCAGATTTATAGGCCATATTTTTGTCAATAAATTAAACATTGTTACTTTTTCCCATTTGATTCATACTGTGTTTTCATTTTTCTGTGTTATTTTCTAGAATTTGTTGACCTTCGTTTAATCAATGTGAACGGTATATCTATACATTTTCTCTCTGTGAAGAAGCATTTAGTTAAGAGAATAATGGGCATTTGCCTGCTTAAAAATTCACAGTGCTAATATGAGCGCGCACACACACACACACACACACACACACACACACACAAATGATTTCATCTCTTTGCTCCACCTGTCTATTGCAAAATCTAATTGTAACCATTAGCAGCCTTCAGAGTAAAAAAAATTTGTTTCTATACCATTAACTTTTTTGAAAACATTGAGTAACTAATACCTATAACTAGGCTTTGGGAATTCATGTACACTTGTGTTTTGTCTTACCTCAAATTAACGTTAGAAATGTATTCCTATTGCTTGGCCTGCAGCACTTCTAGGGATTATATTTGTTATTTTATATTATATTTGAGGTAGGAAAACTTCAGAGGCTTTCCTAATCACTACTAAAGTACTCTACAGAGTAAATTCAGTTGGAATAGGTATCTTTCTTGAAAGAAAAATTTACTCCACCCAGAAAACTGAAGCAAATTTGTATTAGTTTACATATTCACATTGTTTATTTTACATATTTCAAGCTGCCTCAGGCAATTACAATTGTTTAATAAAATTTAAAAGACTTGAGGTAGAAGATGAAATAAAAGAGAAATAGGACATAATGAATAATGTATATTTGTTTTTCTCATCTTCTTTAGAACCAAAAGGTAATAAATATATTAATTATGGCCTAAAAATTATATAATAGAAGCTTTATGGAGAAAAATTATTCTATTTTAGAAAAGCTGATATTTTACCCACCAATAAAATGGGAAAAAATGATATCTACCTAATAAATTATTTTTTGACCATTAAATGATAAGACGTGGGTAAACCACTTATACAAGGGTGTGTACATAGTATAAGTTCAAAATTAATAAATAATTTTAATTGAATAATTAAACTATAATTTTTTATAAAAATTGTGCCTGTTAATGTAAAAGGATTATTAGAATGATGCATAGACTACCAAGGTTTAAAGATAAAGAATAAAATATGAATGATTAAAATTCTCATTGAAGAAACTCACACTAAAAATCTTACAAAATAGATTGTGAAAAAGACATTAGACAGGCCGGGTGCGGTGGCTCACGCCTGTAATCCCAGCACTTTGGGAGGCCGAGGTGGGTGGATCACAAGGTCAGAAGTTCCAGACCAGCTTGGCCAATATGGTGAAACCTTGTCTCCACTAAAAATACAAAAATTTGCTGGACATGGTGGTGGGCGCCTGCGGTTCCAGCTACTCGGGAGGCTGAGGCAGGAGATGCACTTGAACCTGGGAGGCAGAGGTTGCAGTGAGCCAAGATTGTGCCACTGTACTCTAGCTTGGGTGACAGAGCAAGACTCCGTCTCAAAAAAAAGAAAAAAAAAAAAAGAAGAAAAAGACATTAGACATCTGAAAAAGTGAGCAGAAATGAGGCAAGTGAGTTTTAATAACAGAAAGGAAATAGTAATTTATTTATATTTTATTGGAAATAAAAGCTTGATCTTTGCAGTAAAAAATTAAGAAGGCATCTGTGCCTTTACCTGTGAGGGGATAAATATAATCTTAATGGTGGATGGCTACTGATGGCTTAGAATGCACAATGTAAGTGGATTGTATTTCAAATACATTGCTAAATTAGCCTGAATTAAAGATTATCAAGACTTTAGGCATTTCCTCTAGTAGTTAGGAGAAGAACTAGAAAAAGAATGAGGCATGGATAGAAAAGTCTCTCAAAATAAAGTAAAGCCTGGAAAGTATCAAGTAGAAGGTCTTAGAGCAAGGATATCAATATTTTGGGGGGACAGCAATCAACTTGAGGAAAGAGATGTCTAATGACATTCAAATGTACATTGCTGCCTGAACTATGAGATGCTCCAATGACCCATAACTCAGACCAGCAGGAAAACCTACTGCGCTACATTTTCTTTTTGCTGTTCTAACAAATTACCACAAATTTAGTGGATTAAAAAACACAAATTATTGTCTTACAGTTATGGAAGTTAAATGTCTGATACAAGTGTTGTGGGGCTCAAATGGTGGTTGTCAGCAAGGCTACCTTTTTCTGGAAGTTCTAGGGAAAGATTTCTTCTTGCTTCTACTTTTTCTAGACGCTACTGGCATTCTTTCTTCTCTTTTCTTTTCTTTTCTTTTTTTTTTTTTAGACAGAGTTTCACTCTTGTTGCCCAGTCTGGAGTGCAATGGCGCTATCTCACCTCACTGCAATGTCCACCTCTCAGGTTCAAGCAATTCTCCTGCCTCAGCCTATTGAATAGCTGGGATTACAGGTGTGCGCCACCACGCCCGGCTAATTTTTTGTATTTTTAGTACAGACAGGGTTTCACCTTGTTGGCCAGGCTGGTCTCGAACTCCTGACTGCATGTGATTCCTCCGCCTTGGCCTCCTAAGTGCTGGTATTACAGGTGTGAGCCACCACCTCCGGCTGCATTCTTTCACTTGTAGTTGCATTCTCCCAATCTCTGCTTCCATCGTCATATTGCCTTTCCTACTACTAATTCTAATCATTCCGCCTCTCTTACCAGGACTCTTGTGATTACACTGGACCCACCCTGATAACCTAACATATTTTCCTCATCCCCAGCTTCTTAATTTAATGACTTATGCAAAGTGGCTTTTACCATGTAAGGTAACACATCCATACGTGTCAGTAGTTAGAATGTGGATATCTTGGTGGCAGGAAGGAGACATTTTCTAATGTAACACACACATTAATAGCTTTGGGTTAAAAATAATGTGATGAAAAATAAGAACAATCTCCAAAATAGGAAAAGCAGTGTAAACAATAGACAGAAGAAAAAATTAAAATAAGAAGAAAGAAAATCAGTTGAAGCAAAAAAAAAAAACTGAAATAAAAAATGGAATCTATTAGAAAAGTTTAGATAGACTTCCAGGCATTTCAAGGACATCAGGATGATGGAAGGAAAAGACTATGATTTTTCCAATATGAGGGATTAAGGACAAAGCAATTTAAATTAAATGTTATGGAAAAGAGCAACACAAAAAGACAAGTAAATCCCAAATGATAGAATTTTGAGTTATATAAGGAAAGCAAATACTAGCAATAGCTGAAAAAATAAATGTTTCTCCAATATCATTTACAACACCTGAAAGATATTTGGGAATAGTCATAATTCAGTTCTCCCTAGGCTTTTTCTTAGGACATCCATAGAAACTGATAATATTTGCTTAGACACTGGGATAAAAATAATATGAGCTAGAAACGACAGGTCAAATATCACCACCCACCACATACCTGCCAGGTTGCCCTGAAGCCTAAAGTACCAATATCCTTACATTCTGAAATAGCTGTGTGAGGAGCTCCATAGACCCACTCCTCAGCAAAACAATCGTAACTGTTGAAAAATCATTCAAAATAAAAATAACAACAACAAAAGAGCAATTATAGCAATCATTTAAAGACTAGAAATTGTTCTAAGGGAAAATAGCAAATACAAAATCATTTATTCAAGAAAATTGACTAAATGTGAACAAGAACATCAAGAGTCTGCAGCAGTGAAGCCATGACCTACTCCTTCCTGCCAATACAACCTCAGCATGATGCAAGCTCCACTCTGGGTTGGTATGGCCAAGAAGATGGAGTTCACTCTCTCACCAGCCCTCAGCCAAAACTACTACAGTGCCACCAGAAAGGGGCACACTACCAGCATTGCTTATCTCTCTCCCTGAAACGGGAGGAATTCCTTTATCCCCCCATAGGGCTTGTGACAGGGGTGTGACTCACTTCTTCAGTGCCCCTCTGCTCAAACCCCTAGAGGGAGCATGCAGACTAGCAGGTCATGGGGAGCGTTTTCAGGCTCTGAACCCACAGGAGCACCTAGGGGTGAATGTTCACAGCTCTGGAAGCCCCAGTGGGCATGTGTTACACAGTGCTCTTTCAGTTTTGCCGTCTGCAGGTGGCTTATGTTAATCAGCTCAATTAGACCCTCTGTCTTATCAGAAGGACAGAGGACTTTCTGTATACCAGGTTTTTGCCTTGGTGTACCAGAAAAATCAGATCACATGTGGGCTTGGAGGATGGGTGCAAAGTTTTAATGAATGGCGGTAGCTCTCAGCGAGGTGGATGGGGAGGTCAGAAGGATGGAGTGGGAAGGTGATCTTCCCCTGGAGTCAGGCCGCCCAGCACCGGACTCTCCTCCTACCACCCCCAGCCAAATTTGATGTCCATTCACTGTGAATGGCCTGTTGGCATCTGCTGGTGCCTGTCGGTGTGCTCTTCCACTCTTCTGTTCTTCTTGACATCCAGCCACCTGTGTGTGTCCACTAGGGTCTTGGGGTTTGCATAGAAACAGGATGGAGGGTGTGGTGGGCCAGAGTGGTCTGGGAAAATGCCACATTTGGGTGTGAAAAAAGGAGTGCCTGTCCTCACTTAGGTCTGTGGGCACAGGCCCGAGGGTGGAACCCTGGCTGTGGACTGCGCCTTTCTTTACCCAGCACTTCCTTGCCCTCCCCACCACCCGCCTGCCCCATATTATCCCAACCTCTACTGTTGTGGAGAATAAATTCAGCTAAGTTTATCTGAGAAATTGAGGGTTCCTTTCTTCAACACAGTCCCCACTTGTGGGGTGAGGGGTCTTCTCCAGGCACAGCACACTGAGAATACTGGAGCTCTGACTGTTCTGGCTCAACTTACTTGCAGAATAGAAGACCCACACAGAGAGATGCAGCCAAGAAGACTAGGAACTAATGCCTCTGTCATAAAGCAGAAGTGTCACTCCCAAAGCAGTGAGCCTTTTTCCCCACCCCCAGCTCTGAAATAGTGACTCAGAGATTTTGCCCAGGGGTACAGGCAGGCCATAAAAACAAAGAACTCTAAGTTCTCTCCAAAGTAACTAAGTTTACTTGGAACAAAGTGTGGAGAAGTTTAAGTCTAAGGTGTCCTGTGGAGATTTTGGTGGTAAGCAATTAGGAGAAAGATGGCAGCCACATGAAGGCAATAAACTTAACTGTAGGCCAATAGTTTACTAAAGAAAACCAGGAAAAGAGATAACTAAGAAGAGCCCTCCTTGGATTAGAACAAAACACAAAGACTGACCTCAAAAACTACCCCTGCAAAGGAGCCCAAATTTAATTTGATCAGACTACAAAGCAATCTATGCCCCAAGGCATTATCAGAAAGAATAGAGCAACCAGCCAGCAATTAGAGGAGCCTAATAGCTGGACTTGATACAACCTGGGAATTAACCAAACTACAAGATTAAGGGCACAGTCTGCCAGGCTGTCAAATCTTCCCCAAACCTCTGACCCCTTCTGCAAAGAGTTAGGGTCTAAGCCTAAAGTTAGAAAGAAGAGTTTACACAAGACTATCCTCACTTATGACACTAACACTAAGTTTGGGGTGTTATGTACTGAACTGTGCTCCTCCAAAATTTATATGTTGTAGTCCTAACCACCAATGTGACTGTCTTTGGAGATAGGTCCTTTATGGAGGTAATTAAGGTTAAATGAGGTCATAGGGGTTCCTAATCCAATATGACTGGTGCCCTTATATGAAAAGGAAGAGACACCAGGGAAGTACAATCAGAGAGAAAATGCTGTGTGAGGTCACAGCAAGAAGATGGCCATCTGCAAGCCAAGGAGAGAAGCCTCAGGAGAGAAAACACCTTTGTCACCTTGATCTTGAACTTCCAGGTTCCAGAACTGTGAGAAAATAAATTTCATTTGTTTAAACAACTCAGTCTGTGATATTTTGTTATGGCATCCCTAGCAAACTAATATAGGGGGATTCTCAAAAGTACACTCAGTTTCAATTTTTCACTGTAAAGACTCACAGAACATAAACATATAAATTATATAAAGTAATAGTTATAACAATATCATGCTTTGTGAAAAAATATATATGTAATATATGTAACTATAATAGCGCAAAACAAGGTAAGAAGAAATACAGCTATATAAGAGTAATGTTTCTATATATTACTGGAATTAAATTAGCATATATCTTAAGTAGATTCAATTAAATTAAAAGATATAAGGTAAATCTTAAAGCAACCAATAATAATAATTACTCAAAAATGGCCAGGCGCAGTGGCTCACGCCTGTAATCCAGCACTTTGGGAAGTCGAGGCGGGCAGATCACGAGGTCAGGAGATCAAGACCATCCTGGCTAACAAGGTGAAACCCTGTCTCTACTAGAAATACAAAAAATTAGCCGGGCGAGGTGGCAGGCGCCTGTAGTCCCAGCTACTTGGGAGGGTGACGCAGGAGAATGGCGTGAACCCAGGAGGCGGAGCTTGCAGTGAGCCAAGACTGCGCCACTGCACTCCAGCCTGGGCGACAGAGCGAGACTCCGTCTCAAAAATAATAATAATGATAATAATAATTACTCAAAAATGTTGGGAAAATTCTTAATTAAAACATTACACTAGAAAATATTCACAATGCAAAAAAAATAAAGAATGATTAGTAGAAGAAAAATAAAATGAGATATATAGAAAACAAAGAGTAATGGGTGGAGATAAATTCAACTCTATTGATAATAAAATTACATTTTAGTGGATTAAACAACCCAATCCAAAGCAGAGACTGTCAGACTGGATATTTAAAAAATTGGATTTGGCCGGGCACAGTGGCTCTTGCCTGTTATCCTAGCACTTTGGGAGGTGGAGGTGGGTGGATTGCCTGAGCTCAGGAGTTCGAGACCAGCCTGGGGTACATGGTGAAACCTCGTCTCTACTAAAACAAAAAATTAGCCAGGTGTGGCGGCATGTGCCTGTAATCCCAGCTACTCGGGAGGCTGAGACAGGAGAATCGCTTGAACCTGGTAGGCGGATGTTGCAGTGAGCCGAGATAGCACCACTGCACTCTAGCCTGGGCGTCAAAGCGAGACTGTCTCAAAAAAAAAAAAAAAAAAAGATGGAATTTGACTATTCTATCTTACAGGAGACACACTGTAGAATCAAAGATACAAACAGATTGAACATAAAAGGAAAGAGAAAAATATATCGTGCAACGGAAAACTTTATGAAAGCTAAAATGGCTACTCTAATGTCAGACAAAATAAACTTCAAACAAAAAAGATACTAGAGGAAAAATAGGAATTTATTATTGAAAAATGTTTAATCCATCATGAATATTTAATAATTATAATATATGCACATAGTAAAAGATTATATATCTATTGATATGTCATATCAATAGAATAAAGGACAAAAGCCAAATAATTATCTCAATAGATACAAACAAAAGTATTTTATAAAATCCAACATCATTTAATGATAAAAATCCACATCAAATTAGTCAATAGAAAATAACTTCTTCTATCTGATAAAGGCATCTACAAAAACCCACATGAATGCCATACACAATAGTGAAAAACTGAATGCTGGTCCCCTAAGATCAGAAACAAGGATGCCTGCTCTCGTTAGTTCTACTCAGCACTGTGCTAGAGGTTCTAGCCAGGGCAATTATTCAAGAAAACAAAATAAAAATCATCTAACCAGGAAGGGAAGAAGTAAATCTATTTTTATTCTCAGGTAACATGATCTTATATAGAGAATATCCTAATGAAGCCATTTAAAAGCTATTTTTGGAGATAAATTCAGCAATTTTGCAGGGTATAGAGCAATGTACATTAATTAATTGTACCCACCAAAAATGAAATTCAAGAAACAATACAATTTAAAGTAACATAAAAAAATACTTAAAAATCAATTTAGCAAAAGAAGTACAAGACATATACTTTGAAAACTACAGAATATTGCGGAATAAATTAAAGGAGACCTAAATAAAAAGAAAGAAATCCCATGTTTATGGATCAGGACATATTATTAAGATGACATTACCAATATTATTAAGATGACATTACCTTCCAAATTGATATATAAATTCAATGCAATTCCTATGAAAATCCAAATGGTGATCTTGCAGAAATGAAAAACTGATCATAAAAATTCGTATGAAATTTCAAAGGATCATGAAACGCCAAAGTAATACTGAAAAAAAGGAACAAAGTTTGACAATTTACATTTTCCCCATTTTAAAACTTACTACAAAGCTACACTAAGTAACATGTAAAGACAAACATATAGGTCAATTCAATAGAATTAGAGTTCAGAAGCAAACACTCAAATTTATGGTAAATTCATGTTCAACAAGTCCCCAGAAAATTCAGTGAGGGGTAGCGGAGGAGTGGTAATAGGCTTTTCAACAAATGGTGCTGGGACAACTGCATATTAAGATACCAAAAAAGGCCAGGTGCAGTGGCTGATGCCTGTAATCCCAGCACTTTGGATGCCAAGGCGGGCAGATCACCGGAGGTCAGGAGTTCCAGACCATCCTGGCCAATATGGTGAAACCCCATCTCTACTTAAAATACAAAATTAGCCGGGCGCAGTGGCACACACCTGTAATCCCAGCTACTCCAGAGGATGAGGTAGGAGAATCACTTGAACCTTGGAGGTGGAGGTTGCAGTGAGCTGAGATCACTCCACTGCACTCCAGCCTAGGTGACAGAGCGAAACGCCATCTTAATTAAGAAAAAAAAAAAAGATACAAAAAAAATAAAATTGGACCTCTTCCTCATATCACCTACAAAAATTAACTCAAAATAAATTTTAGACCTAAACACAAGAGCTAAAAGTAAAGAAATCTTAAAATATGTATGTATATGTGAGCAAATCTTTATGGCCTTTAGTTAGTCATAAACCTTAATAAAACACCCAAAAGTGACAAATGAAAAAGTAAATAAATTGGACTTCTCAAAATTAAAAACTGTGTTTCAAAGGATAGCATCAGGAAAATAAAAAGACAATACACAAAATGGAAAAAATGTTTTCAAGTCATGTATCAGATAAGAAACTTGTATTTAGAAAATTTAAGTAAATATTATTATATCTAGAATGTATAAAGAAATCTCAAACTCAATAATAAAAAGACAAATAAACAAATTTTAAAATAGGAAAAGTATTTAAATAGACATTTCCCCAAGGAAGATATACAAATGACCGATAAGCACATGAAAAGATGTTCAACATTATCGGACACTTTCAATGGCAAAAACAGCAATGTCTTTGTACCAATCCAATAAGTCAAAACCATAATAAGATGTCACTGCATACCCACTAGGATGGCTTTTATCAAAACAAAGAGATAATAAAAAATTATGTGTGGACATAAAAAAGTGTGGAAAAGAATGTGGAGAAATTTGAATCCTCATATACTCATTTTTGATGCGAATGTAACGTAGTGCAGCCACTTTGGAAAACAGTCTGACAATTTTTCAAAAGATTATACGCAGAGTTACCATATGACCTCAAGATTTCACTTCTAGGTATATTCCAAAGAGGAATAAAAATTTATGTTCACACAAAAATTGTACATGAATATTCATAAAAGCGGTATTCATAATATCGAAAATGTGGAAACAAACCTAAGGTTTATCAACAGAGAATGGATAAACAAAGTGTGGCATATTCATACAACGAAATTTTATTCAGCAATAACAATGTGTGAAGTATGGTACATACTAAGACATAAATGAAACTTACAAACATTATGTTAATGAAATAAGGTAGTCACAAAAGACTATATATCGTATGATTTCACTTTTAGGAAATGTCTGGAATAGGGAAATAATTAGAGATGCAAGAAGATTTGTGGTTGCCTAGGACTTGGAGTTGGGGGTTAAGAAAAAATGGGGAATGACTTCTGAAGAGTTCTCCATTTTTCTTAAATTTGACTTTGGTGATGGTTGCACAACTCTATGAATATACTAGAAACCATAGAATTGTACATTTTAGGTGGATTAATTATGGTATAGGAAGTATATCTCAAAGAAGCTGATATACATAGCATACGTATATACACACATATATTTATGAATGTATACTTACAAAGCCATGCATTCTTTAATGATGGGGATATGTTCTGATAAATACATTGTTAAATGATGTCATCATTAGGTGAACATCATAGTGTACTTACACAAACCTAGATGAGTTCACTTACTACATACCTGGGCTATATGGTATAGCCTATTGCTCCTAGGCTACAAACCCATACAGCATGTTACTGTATTGAATACTGCAGGCAATTGCCACATAGTAGTATTTATGTATCTAAACATATCTAAACATTAAAGAGGTTCAGTAAAGATATGGTATTATAATCTTATGAGACCACAGTCATATATGTGGTCCATGGTTGGCCAAAACATCATATGAGGAACATGACTGTATATGTGCCATACACAACGTTTTCATCAACATATGTATATGTGTATATATATATATATATATATATATATATATATATGTACACATATATATATATATATAAAATAGAAGAAATTATTGAGGAAGCTTTGTTATATATCTTTCTCCTGGAATCAGCTGGATCCAGTAAAAGTACAAATTGTTAGATATTATTAAAACAATCATACAAACTGAAGGGAAACATATTTTATTTTTTTTTATCATTACAACAAAAGCCTATGCCTGGCAAAGAAACTCTACTACATTCCAAAATGAAAAAAAAAACTTATATAAAGATTAATAAAGACATCTATATGATGAACGAGACTGGAAAATAGTCAGTATATCTTATAAGAAGAAAATGGAAAGATCTGAATCCTTACATTTAGAAAACAAACATTGGGGTAGATGCCACAGAATCCATGAATGCGTGAATGTTATATCTAAGGTCAACATAATACAAAGGAATGGTTTGTAAATCAATGAGATGATTTAAAAATAAATATAATGACATCTATTGAAATAATTAAGTGGAAAGAATTCATTAACCCCAAATATGATACCAGCAGAAAAAATTATTTTCTTCAAAAAGAGACAGTTAGTCCTTGATGTACTTGCAAAAATAGCGACCTCTAGAGTTTACTTTGGAGTGCCAACAAAGCTCTCCTCCACTGATAAAATCCAGCTGGATAAGTCAAGTTTCAGAATCAGAGAGGTAATTCTCATTTTGAAATGGATTAATCAAGCATAATATTAGATGGAATTTAAAGTCATGAAACTGGATGAGATCACCAAGGGAGTGTATATAGACAGATCAGTGTAATTAATAAAGTGTAAGTAGATGTAGGTAGTATATATGGAAAATAATCTGATAGACATAATCTATGATTTACCAAAATAATATATTTGAAGGGATAATTCCTAATATTGAGTTGATCACAAATCAAGTACAGTTCATGGTATTTCAGTTCAGGCTTAAGATATAGTTACTGGCAGCTCACTAGATGGAAAATGGAATGAGAGGCATTATATTAAAATTTAATTTCACAGCAAAGACTGAGAGATAAGATTCAAGATTGATACTTTGCAGGTTGGCCTCCCAAGAAGTTGGAAAACCCAAGCTTCTCTGACAATTGGCTACAGTATATCCCTGTAAAAAGGCAATCTGTTCTGGTTAACTGCAAGTCTTACACAACTCTGTCATGTCAGGGGAGGGTCTCTACTTCCCAATGTTGGTTGTTGAGATAGAAAATCTTGATTCCAGTTTCAAATATCGCACAGCTGAAACCACAAGTCTTGGACCCATGGCCTGGTATCATGCCAGAGGAAGAGCTAAAATGTATTCAACGAGATAGAGCAAAATTAAGACCAGTTTTCCTTTGGGAGGAAATGAGTAGATGGAATTATGAAGAGATATGAATTGCACTGGATACTTTTTAGCACATTTTAAATTTCATACACTGTGCCTGTATTACCTAGACAATTTTTTTCTAAAAGTGGATAAGTATCTACATTTTTGACAATGTAAAGCACTGACACCATCTTATGTTTAGATAAAGCAATGTTCTCATGAGATAAGAGTAACTTGAAACTTCAGTTTTCTCACTAATTAAGTACAAAGCAGTTAGCATACATTATTAATCTGCTTCTCTCCAATATCCTAGCTAGACACTTTCTCAAGTAACTTTATCCACTTCTTCTGATAGTTATAAAATCACAGTTTAAACTCTTCTTAGATTTATCTGGAAGCTTTCAGCCTGATGTGAAAAATGAAACCTTATTATGAAGTTAATTTTGTCCTTGCTGAGGCTGACTTTTCTGCTTGCTTTGGAGGCTCTGCACTTTTTAAAATATATAAATGAAATAAGCAATTATTTTAATTTTTCATATTACTTGTTGTTTTCATTTTATGGTATTTTTAATAGCTTATTTCAGTAATCTGCACAATGCTTTGATTCAACATTATAGTTTGAAAGATTCCATTTTCAAATTAGATGTAGGAAATCCAGTTATATTCACTATTTACAATAACACCTCCTCTATGCCTAGATACATAATGCGTACTAAGTGGTATTGCCCTTTTCTAAGATTCAGAAAGTAATCTTTTTTCTCTTTTCTTTTCAGTCAGTGAATCATTAATGCCTAATTCTAACAATTCTGAAAGGTAAATGGGCCTCAAGGTTTATAAATACAGGGCCACCAGTCTCTTGGCCAACCAACAGAGGGAGCCCACACTAGATATATGCACAGCAAATACTCCCAAATGTAAAAAGAAAGTGATAATATTCTGCCAATGGTATTTAAAACAGGTCTGGATGTATACTATAGTGTAAGGGAAGCCGGAATGTATTGCTCTACTATAGATGTAACATCACTGGCAACAGCAACCATAATCTAGGCACCATCATTCCTCCTTCAATATGTGCCAAATGCATAATACATTTTATCTCTTGAATCACTACAACACTTGTGAGGCAGGTACCATTATCATCCCTGTTCTGTTCTGAAAATAATCCTAAGCTCATATAGCCAGAAAATTTGGCAAAGCCAGTACTTAAATCCTAATAAGCTGTATGACCTCGGAGGATATGTTCTTAAGGACTGTACTAGGCAGCTTCCCAGCAAAGTGTAGGAATGAGGATATTCTTGTTTGGAATAGTTATCTGCACATGCCAATTTTGTAGATATACTTAAGACAGGGAGAGGTAATGGACACTCTTCCCGGTACCAGCAAAATGACAAATAGGTTTACACCACAGTTCTGCTGAGGTCAAAATTATCTCTGCAAGGCCATTATACTTCTTGCTCATCATAAACACAATTGTGGATTAAGAAAAAAACTATTCTGTGCTGTTTTGGTGTATTAGCTATGTGAACAGTCTGCTGAAGAACCCAAATGCATAGGATTTGTTTCCTCTTCAATGATCTTTGGCCTATCTATATCTTCAGCCATGAGCAAACAGCTACATATGAATTTTTATCAGATAATGTATTCGTATCCATAAGACATTTCTGCAACACTTTTATTGACATATTGACATATCTTGGCCTGATCCACATATTTACTCAGGAAAAAATATGTACAAATCTCTAAAATAAAATTGTCTAGGAAATAGCATTATTTATAAGCATAACTTGACAGCTCCATATTCACATCCCATTATGGTATCCATGGTGCAATATATTTTAAGATAGCCTTCATGTTTATCTTTACATTTACAAAACAAATGAAAATTCTGGGAGTTTACTGTGCAGAGAAGCTATGAATGTGTAATATTTCTGTTTCCGTGAAAGTTTCTCACCAGCCATATTTGACTATGGGATCTTATCTCCTTTGTGCCCTGTACTGAGTAAACTCCTCACCAAGACAGTTGATTGCTGAATTAAAATCTGAGGAGAGAAAGAAATAAATTTCTGCACTGTTTGTACAACAGTATATTCAGCAGTGTACTGTAAGACATTATGACTTAAAGTAATGCTGTAGAATGCTAGCAACAAAGAATTTAGAGCAGACTCAGAGGGAACTCATAATCATAAAGCCATCCTTAGACAAGGATAATAAAAATACAGTTACAGTAAACAGACTGAGTCTTCAATCACACTGAATAAATCATAAGGTAAAAAATGGAAAAAGCAAACTATAGACATCATTTGACCAGGGTAGAAAGAAATTATCAAACAATGAGGTAATAGAAATGTCACAACACTGGAGCCAGTGTTTATTACGACTTCTTTCAGTGCCATTCATTTCCCTCAAAGGTCAAAGAAACTTTGGAAATGATGAAACACCACTTTCATTTTCCTTTTTTTCCCTCCTTCCCCGGTTTTAAATTCTCTCTTAGGAGTCTTACCTGAGATATGGCTTCAATGTTACATTGTGTTGATGACAATAGCAGCCCTTGGTTTGGAGAGAAAAGCAAATATATTTTCTCTTGAAACCAAATATGACCCAAATATTCTTAAAAATAATCCTACCGTTGTTAGAAAAGGGAAAGAGGTTTCGATATACTGATAAATGGGTTTATAGAAATACTGAAGAATTGGCATAACAAACAAATAAGTCAAATAATTCTAATAATTCAAAGGCAGAAATTCCTATTGTTTAATCTTCGTGGAAGGTAGAAAATGAATTGCTGGGACACTGGCTTTGTTCAAAAATCATGGATGACATTTCCCAGGAAATCATAAAATCAGATTCCCTGAGCTTTGTGAAATCAAACAAGTGAATGTTTCTTATTTTAAGGAACCCCTATGCATTCAACCACTTCTCTAGGGTCCCATAGTAATAATAACTAATATAACACATGCACAATAATGAGAAAGTCTAGGAAAATTAGGTTTTGGGTCAAGAGTCAAATGTGATCAAACTGAACTGCCGATGTCTTGACTAAAAGGTGAAGGAATTAACTCAAGTTTCTCTTTTATAATTAAAGAATCTAAACTTTGACTTTAAAAAATTATTCATTTTGAGAGTATTTGATTAAATCTGTTTGGGATAATTACTTTATGACCTGGGTTAGACGTCTCAGAGGCCACTAAGAGGCATATAGAGCCAATAAATCTAGTAGGAGAGGTTAGATAAACAGCCAATTGCCAAGACCTACTGATACTAGTCTTGATCATTTGGTAGATTTTATTCACTTAACCAATTTTAAGTCTCACATAACTCTGGAGTCTACATCTGTCTACGTATTTCTTAGGCATAGGCTAAGCTGCTGTAAAAGAAACTCAAAAATACAGAAGCTCAAATTAGATAGTATTTTTTTTTCTTCACTCTCTCACAAAATAATCCGGAGGAAGAGAGCAGTCCAGGTTAGGAAGGCAAGTCTGCTCCATAAGAACGTCCAGAAACTCAGGTCATGGATAAAGACCCTGACATCCTTATTAAGAGCCTTTCTCACCTTTTCTTTCTAGGTCTAATGTCTTTGGCTAGTATAATCTTCATTTTCTAGATAATAAGGAGGCAGAAACAGAGAAGCAAATCAGCATTCATTTTAAGGCTGTGTGTTGACAATAGTACATATTTATTCTACTTGCATTCCATAGTCACAGGGCCATACTTAGGGGAAAAAGAAGCTGGAAACTTAAATTTGAAGTTATGCAACACCATACTTTACTAAAACTGTGTGGTGTGTGTGTGTCTGAGTGTTTGAAGAACTCCATTGCTCTAAAGAAAAAAAAGGGAAAAGTAATGAAAGAAAACAAAAAGCTTGTCTCTTCACATATTAAAATGCAAAGCTAACTCAATCAACATGCCTTAGAAGTGGATCTCATGTAACATTTTCCAATGGAGGACATTTCTAGGTGTCAATTGTGGTAAAAGAACTAAGTAGTACAATGTTTCATTCACGTAGTATTAATGAATCATATAAAAATTACAACAAAGAATATTTCAAGAACCATATTTTGCATCTGTTGATTCTATTGTATGTTCAAAATGTTGCCATGATTTTTTTGTCAATAAATGATTTTTGACAATTTTATTGTACTTTTTATTATTTCAGGTCTTTGCCAAATTAATAAAGTGGATAAAGATTGCTGGCTGTTAAGGTGATTTTATTTTAAATCTGAAAATTATAGGACAGTTTAATCTTAGTCCTTGAAGATAATGTAATGGAATGAATTATAGTTCCCAATTATGCTGTCTCCCTTAGGAAGATTATGCGCACTTATTTTCATGTGACTAGTAGTATATTTCTGTGGTTTAATTCTATTTTCCCACCTATTTACATCAGCGTAGTCACGTGATTTGTTTTAGCAAATAAAATTTGGGAAGAGTAGCCAGTATTCAATTTCTGAGCAAAAGCTTTATCAGCGATGGTATGGTTTTTCTGATTCTCTTGCCTTTTCTCTCTGCCTTAGCAGTAGCAAATCTTGGAAAGGGCCTGCGCCTTTAGCCTGGAACCCAGAATAGAAGGACACACAGAAGCAGAGCTGCTGTGGCTGTGCATAATGTCTAGTTTTATATGTCAATTTAACTGGGCAAAAGGCCATGGGGTGCCCAGACATTCGGTCAAACATTGCTCTGGGTGTGTCTGTGAGGGTGTGTCTGAATGAGATTAACACCTGAATTCATAGACTGAGTAATGCACATTGCCATCCCTAATGAGGGTGGGCCTCATCCTATCAGTTGAACATCTGAATGGAACAAAAAGACTGACTTTCTCAGGAGTAAGAGGGAATTCCTCCTGCTTGACTGCCTTTATGTGGATCACAGGCATTTCCCTGCTGTTAGACATGAACTGAAGCATCAGCTCTTCCTGGGTTTCAAGCCTGCAGGGCTTCAGACTACAACTGCATTATTCACTCTCCTGGGTCTCATACCTTCAGACTCAAACTGGAATTATGCTATTCTTGGGTCTACAGCTTGCCAACTACACATCTTGGGACTTCTCAGCCTTCATCCTTGCATGAGCCAATTCCTTATTTAAAAAATTCATATATATGTATACAAGTTCCTATTGGTTATGTTTCTCTGGAGAATTGACTGTATCTGATACAGTAGATGAGCAAAAAACTAACTTAAAATGTGTTAAACTATTGAAATATGAGCATCATTTATTACAATGGCAAAACTCATTAAAACGGGTTGATTTATAAGAGTTATCTATATGTACCACATACAAAACCTTTGTCAAAAAAATGTTGCAAGTATTTTCTCATACTGTAGCCTAATTTGTTTTTTAACTTTTTTTTTAAGTTATCTTAAAATAAAATATACAGGGGTATCTGTGCAGGTTTGTTACATAGGTAAATGTGTGTCATGGGGTTTTGTTGGACAGATTATTTCATCACCCAGGTATTAAGCCTATTACCTATTAGTTATTTTTCCTGATCCTCTTCCTCCTTTCACCCTCCACCCTCCTATAGGCCCCAGTTTCTGTTGTTCCTACGTGTCCATGTGTTCTCATCATTTAGCTCCCACTTACAAGTGAGAAGATGCAGTATTTGGTTTTCTGTTCCTGTGTTAGTTTGCTAAGTGTAATAGCCTCTAGGTCCATCCATGTCCCAGCAGACATGATCTCATTCTTTTTGTGGCTGCATAGTATTCCACGGTGTATATGTACAACACTTTGTTTATCCAATCTATCATTGATGGGCATTTAGGTTGATTCCATGTCTTTGCTATTGTGAATAGTGCTTCAGTGAACATACACATGCACGTGTCTTTATAATAGAATGATTTATATTCCTTTGGGTATATACCCAGTAATGGGATTGCTGAATCAAATGGTATTTCTATCTTTAGGTGTTTGAGGAATGGCCACATCGTCTTCCACAATAGTTGAACTAATCTCCACTCTTGCCAACAGTATATAAGTGTTTCTTTTTCTCTGCAATCTCACCAGCATCAATTATTTTTGACTTTTTAATAACAGCCATTCTGACTAGTGTGAGATATATCTCATTGTGGTTTTGATTTGCATTTCTCTAATGATCAATGATGTTGAGGATTTTTTCATATGATTGTTGGCCTCGTGTATGTCTTCTTTTGAAAAATGTCTGTTCATGTCCTTTCCTTTTAAAAAATAGAGATTTTAATTTTAATGAAATCTATATTACCTTTTTTATGGTTAGTGTTTTGGGTTCTAAAATATTTTACCTAGCCCTTTATACTTCTGTATATATGCATATATATACACACACACACATACATATGTTAATATGTGTGTTTGTGTGTGTGCATGTGTTTGCATTGAATCTACAATCTTGCCATTTGATCTCAATTTCTGCTGTAGTTTTTTTCTCTTTTCCTCTTTTACTAAGTTTTCATAGATTAACTGCCTATGCTATATATTTCATTTTTTTCTCTACTATTTGGTATTTAAAATACATCTTTAACTATCACAGTCTGCCCTAAAGTAACATTATATTACTTCATACATACTGAAGGACCCTTATGAGGGTACATCTCTCATTTTCATCTCTCACTTTGTATCATTCTTGATATCATTGACATATATTTTACTTCCACAAATATTATAAAGCCTAAGTTACTTTGCTAGTTTTTTTAATCAATTATATATTTTCTTATCTTAATAGACTTTATTTTTAGAGCAGTTTTTATTACATAGAAAAATTAAGTAGACAGTATAGAAAATTCCCATACACTCCCTGTTCCCACACATATTTAACCTCCCTGGCTATCAACATCCACCACCAGAGTGGTACATATGTTACAACTGATGAGCCTACATGAACATGTTGTTACCCAAAATCCATAGTTTACATTAGGGCTTATTTTTGGTGTTATACAATTTATGAGTTTTGAAAAATGCATAATGACATGGATCCATAATTATAATATACAGAATAGTTTCATGGCCATAAAAAAATTATGTGCTCCACCTATTCATCCGTCCATCACCCCTAATCCCTAGTAACCACTGATCTTTTTATTGTATCTGTCGTTTTGCATTTTCCAGAATGTTATATAGTTGGAATCATACAATATGTAGGTATTTCATATTACCTTCTTTTGCTTAGTTATATGCATTTAAGGCTCCTCCATGTCTTTTCATTGCTTCATAGCTCATTGCTTTTTAGTAATATTATTACTGAATACTATTTCCTTTTCAGGATGTAACACAGTGTATTTATTCATTCACCTACTGAAGGACATCTTGGTTGCTTTCAAGCTTTGGCAATTATGAACAAAGCTCCTGTAAATATCCATGTGCAGGTTTTTGTGTGAACACAAATTTTCAACTCCTTTGGGTAAATACCAGGGATCATGATTGCTAGATCATATGTTAAGACTATGTTTAGTCTTGTAAGAAACTGCCGATCTCTCTTCCGAAGTGGCTGTATCATTTTGGATTTCCAACAGCAGTAAATGAGACTTCTTGTTGCCCTACATCCTTGTCAGCATTTGTTCTCCTCAGTGTTTTCAATTTTGATCATTCTAATAGGTAGGCAGTAGCATCTTATTGTTGCTTTAATTTGGAATTTCCTAATAAAATGTGATGTTGAACGTCTATTCATATGCTTATTTGTCATCTCTAAGTCATCTTTGATGAGGTGTCTGTTCAAATTTTTTGCTCATTTTTAAATCAGGTATTAATAGTTTGTTTTGATACTGTTGAGCTTTAAGAGCTCTTTGCCTATTTTGGATAACAGTGTTTTATCAGATATATTTTTTGCAAATATTTTTCCTCAGTCTCTGGCTTGTCTTCTCATTCCTTTGACTGTCTTTTGAAGAGCAGAATTTTTTAATTTTACTGAAGCCCAAATTATCCATTATTTATCTCATAAATCATATCTTTGATATTGCATTCAAAAAGCCATTGCTATACTCAAATCATCTAGATTTTCTAGTTTTTAATTTTTCATTATATATTTAGGTCTATGATTCATTTTAAATTATTTTTTGTGAAAAATGGGAGTTCTATGTGTACATTCAGTTTCTTGCATGTGGGTGTCTCAATTATACTTTAGACAGTTTAAGGAGGTATAGTTTCCATATAATTTACTTACTTGAAGAATCAATTGTAAAAATTTTGACAAATAAAAATATTAAAATGCTCTGACCTCCAGAATATTCCTTACATCTATTTGCATCAATCCCTTACCCATTAACCCTGGACCCTGGCAACAACTGATTTCCTTTCTGTTTTAATGGTTTACCCTTTCTAAAATTTCATATAATTGGACTCATACAGTATATAGTCTATTATTATTGGATTATTTTACTTAGCATAAAGTTTTTGAGATTCATCCATGCTGTCATGTGTATCAGTAATTTGTTCCTTCTGAATACCAGTTTTTTATCATATATATTTTGGTATATTTTTATATAGGGAACAGAAGCACAAACCATAAACAGAAATAGATAAATTGGAACTCATTCAACTTAAAAAAAAACTTTTCTTCTAAAGTCATGGTTAGAATAATGAAATTGTAATACACAGCCTGGCATCTCTATTTACTGTATGCCCACTATACAGTAAATATTTCTGCATTTATCAGTTGATGGGCATTTCAGTTGTGTCCAGGTTTTTGATATTATGGATAAAACTGCTATAAAAATTCATGCAGTTTCAGTCTTTGTGTGGATATGTTTTCTGTCTCCTTGAATATAATAACCAAGAGTAGATTGACTAGATTATATGAAAAGTGTCTGGTTAGCTCTATAGGAACCTGCCAACCTATTTCCAAAGTAGCTGAACCATTTTGCATTTATATGAGGAATATTTCAGAGTTCCACTTGTCCCACTATCTCACTAACACCTATTCTTGTCAGTCTTTTAAACTGGGTTAGTATAGTAGGGATCTATGTTACCTCAGTGTGACTTATTTACATTTCCTCAGTGAATAATGATGCTAAGCACATTTTTATCTACTGATTTTCCACTTGATAATCTCTTACGAAGAGTCTGTTTAAATATACTGACTTTTTAATTGCATTGTCTTTTTCTTAATAAGTTACCATACACTTTATATTTCAGATACAAGTACTTCATAAAATAAATGTGATGCAAGTATATTTTTCCAGTCTGTGATTACAGGTTCATTATTCTAGCCATGACTTTAGAAGAAAAGTTTTTTTTAAGTTCAATGACTTTCAATTTAACTATTTTTGTTTATGGTTTATGTTTCTGTGCCGTATATTAAAAAATCATTCCCTCAAACAAAATCACAACGATTTGCTCGTTTTTTCCCCAAGAAATTTTGTAATATTAGCTCTTATATTTACATCTCTGATTCATTTCAAGATGACTTTTATATATGGAGTGAGGTAAAAGTGAAAAAATTGTTTTTATCATAAACAGAGTTTCAAGTATTATAGCATCATTTCTTGAAAAGACTACTTTTTTTTTTTTTTTTTTTTTTTTTGAGACAGAGTCTCACTCTGTCGCCCAGGTTGGAGTGTAGTGGCATGATCTCAGCTCACCACAAGCTCTGCCTCCTGGGTTCAGGCCATTCTCCTGCCTCAGCCTCCCAAGGAGCTGGGACCACAGGTGCCCACCACCATGCCCAGATAATCCCTTGCACCCCTACTAAAGACGGGATTTCACCGTGTTAGTCAGGATGGTCTCGATCTTGTGACCTTGTGATCCACCCGCCTCGGCCTCCCAAAATGCTGGGATTACAGGCGTGAGCCACTGCGCCCAGCGGAAAAGACTACCTTTTTCCTAGTATATCACCATGGCATTTTGTCCAAAATCAATTACCATTTGTTTGTTGGCCTTTTTCCTGAACTTTATTCTATTTCATTGATGTGTACGTCTATCTTTACACAAAAATCATGCATGTTACAGTTAGTCTTGAAGTCAGGTTGTGAAAGTCTTCCAAACACGTTCTTCTTTTCCAAGTTGGTTTGGCTATGTTAGGTTATTTGCATTTTCATGTAAATTCAGCTTGTCTATTTCTAACAAAATAGTCTGCTGGCATTTTTACTAGGAATGGCTTAAATCTATGGATCAATTTGGAAGACAATTTGCATCTTACTAGTTTTGAGTGTTCCAATCCATAAATATGAAATATCTATTTTGTTTTCTTTAATTTTCTGTTAGCAATATTTTGTAGTTTCAGTGTACAGTATTAAACATGTTTATGTTCATCTCTAAGTATTTCTTTCTTATCAATCTTATTGTAAATGACACAATTTTAATTTCTATTTATATACAGTAAATAATATAGATTTTTATACATTAATCACAAAAATATGATGTAACCAAACTCACATTAGTTCTAGTACCTTTTATTATAGATTGCTTCAGATACTCTTCATTATCATGTTATCTCCAATCTATATTTAATTTATTTATTTTCTTGCCTTACCTTATTGCACTGGCTGGAACTTACAGTAAAATGTTCACTACACCTGATAAGATTGAACATTATTGCCTGGATTTTGAACTTTGGGAAAAAGTATCCAACTTTCAGCATTTAGTATGATGTTGGTTAGGTTAGTTTGATCGAGTTTAAAAAATACATTGTTATTCATATTTTGTTAAGAGGTTTTATTATAGATAAATGTTGAAATCTGTCCAATATATGTTCTGCCTCCATTGAAATGATTATGTTACTTTGTTTAGTCTTTTGATGTGGTGAATTAAATTGACTAGAATTTTGAATTAGAAATTTGAATGTTGAACCAACTTTGCATTCCTGGAATAAACATTACTTGGTCATAATACATTATCCTTTTTTGTATTTTTTTGATATGCTAGTATTTTAATACAAATTATTGCATCTATATTTATGAAGGAAATTGGTTTCAGTAGTTTTTGTATGAAGTATCTTTGCCTGGTTTTGGCAATACAGTGATCCTAGCTATATATAATTTTTGCTTGTTGCTGTGTTGTTACCTACATACTTAGGCATCTACTTAGGTAGATAGAGTGCTTTATTTTAATGGAGCCTAATATCCCTCTTGCAGTCAAACCTCAAATGTACCACACAGATCAATATCATGTCTTTTTTTTGCTCCAGGATTGCATCTGAGATACCTTATTACATTTAGTCATCATTCCTCTTTACACTTCTCTTGGTTGTGGCAGTTTCTCAGACTTTATTGTCGGTGACCTTGACAGCTTTGAGGATTACTGGTCAAGCATTTTATAAAATGTCTCTCAGTTGATATTTGTCTGATATTTTACTCATGATTAGACTGGGGTTACAGGTTTTGTAGGAAAGACTACATTAGCAAATTACTATTTTTATCCCATAGTAACAAGGGTACATACTGTCAGCATGACTTTTCAGCGTGGTTGTTGATCTTAATCACTTGGCTGAAATTGGGTTTGTCAAGTTCCTGCACTGTAAAATTACTCTTATTTTTCTTCATTTTCAAACACTGTACTTTTTGGAAGGAAGTCACAATGTACAGCCCACACTTAAAAATCAAGGAATTATACACTCCCTTCCTGAGAGCAAAGTATCTACATAAACTATTTGAAATTTTTCTGCAAGAGGGATTTGTCTCTTCTCTCTCATTTACTTGTTTATTTAATCATTTATCTATATTCATATGACCTCATGGATATTTATCTTGTATTTGGGCCTTTAACCCAATACTACTCATTTTTTGCTGAAATTGTTCCAGCTTTGGCCATTTGGAGCTCTTTCTGTTAGTTCTTGCATTCTTTTAGCATATCCACCTAATTATTGGTTCGCTGCTTTTTACTTTCTTACTTTCTGACAGTATAAGATGCTCAAGTCTCATCTTGTATATTAACTGCCCAGTCATTCCTCCAAAAAGCCTTGTACTTGTTTTTTGTTTGTTTAGTTTAGTTTTTGAAATAGGGTCTCAATCTGTTACCCAGGCTGGAGAGCAGTGGTGCAATCTCAGCTTACTGCACCCTTTACCTCCTAGGTTCATGCGATCCCTTTACCTCCTAGGTTCATGCAATCCTCTTGCTGAGTAGCTGGGACCACAGCCACGCACCACCAAGCCTGGCTAATTTTTGTATCTTTTGGTAGACATGGGGTTTCATCATGTTGCCCAGGCTGGTCTGGAACTCCTGGCCTCAAGCCATCAGCCCACTTCTGCCTCCCAAAGTTCTGGAATTTCAGGAGTGAGCCACCACAACTCAATTGTATTTGTTTTTAAATGTAGCATTTGGCTGGGCACAGTGGCTCACGTCTGTAGTCCCAGCATGTTGGGAGGCCTAGGTGGGAGAGTTCAAGACTAGCCTGGGCAACATGACAAAACCCTATGTATACAAAAAATTAGCCTAGTGTGGTGGCACATGCCTGTGGTCCCAGCTACATGGGAGGTTGAGGTGGGAGGATCACCTGAGCACAGGAGTTTGAGGCTGCAGTGAGCCAAGATTGGGCACCACGCGCCACCCTGGTGACAGAGTGAGGCCCTGGCTCAAAAAAATAATAATAATAAAATAAATAAATATATAACTGTGGACCTACTATGAAAATCAACGTTTTATTTAATCAATTTGTTTACTTAAATGTTACGAAATGGAAAAAAGTTCCCTTGTCCTTCTTGCAGGGCATGCGACGGGGGTGTGGCTTCTTCAATGCCCCACTGCTCAAACCCCTAGGGGGCGCATGCAGACAAGCAGGGTGTGGGGCTCAGACCCCATGGTAGCATCTAGGGGTGAATGTTTACAGCTCCTGAGCCCCAGAGGGCGTGTGTTACAGGGCGCTCTTTTAGTTTTGCACTTTTTAGGCTGTTTGGGTTAGTCAGCTCAATTAGACCCCCTGCCTTACCACAAGGACAGAGGGCTTTCTGTATCCCAGGGTTTCTTGCGTTGGTATACTGGAAGAATCGAATCACACATGGGCTTGCGGAATGAATGCAAGGTTTTACTGAGCGGAAGTGCCTCTCAGCAGATGAGGGAGCCAGAAAGGAGATGGAATAGGAAGGTGGTTTTTCCCTGGAGTCTGGCTGCTCAAGGGCTGGGCTCTCTTCCCACGGCCCCAGCCAAACTCCACGTTCTTCCGCTAGTCAATTGCCTGCCTGCCAACCAGCATCTGTCGGTGTGCTCTTACGAGGTGCATTTCTCTCAATATCCACCCACTTGTGTCTCCTTCCGCTGGTGTGTTCCTCTTGACGTCCAGCCACTTGTGTGCGTGCCCACTAGGGTCTTGGGGTTCTTATAGGCACACAATGGGGGTGCGTGGTGGGCCAGGGCGGTCTTGGGAAATGCAACATTTGGGCAAGAAAACAGAAATGCCTGTCCTTATGTAGGTCCCTGAGCATAGGCCCGGGGATGGAGCCCTCACCAGGGATCTGCCATTCTCTACCCAGCACTTCCCTTCCCTGCTCCCGTATCATTACCATGTACAAGCTATTTTCCTGTTAGTTGTAAGGATATACAAAAATCAGAAGACACAAGTCCTTACAATAAAGATCCACAGTACAGTAATATAAACTACAGAGCATCATTTCATAATATAATGTTAAGTAAAATAAATTTTAAAAAATTTATTATATAACTTTTAAAATGTTATGTTGTTTCAAAGTTCACATTCATGCAGATTCTCTGCTTGGGTGAACTAAAGGCAGCTAAGGAATTTCAAAAATGACCCCCTTGTGAAAAATTGTTCACTTAGGATGCCAAACACCTTCCGATCTAAACTCTTTTTTGCTCCCCCAATTATTATTTAATATTTATCATCTCCTTATCTATTGCAAGTTTATGGCTTTGCCTCTTATTTTAACAAGTAAACAATTCTTTTACACGTATTATTTTTGAAGCTTTTCAGCATTCTGTACATATAAGAAGAATATTGGTACATCATAAGTGAACTTATAACATTTTCATAACATGATATGATACAGTAGTCATTGATAATTGCATTTAGAAATTTAAAATTCCATATTATGTACTACTCACACCAACAGGAAATTACAGTGTACATATTGAACAATTAATGAAAACACAATGCATTTCAAAATTGGTATCTCTATGGAAATGTTCTCCATGTAATATTTCATAAGCACAGTTCAGCGTCACTACATTTCCAAATTTATTTCACTTTTGGTTTTATTTTCTACTCTCTTCAGCATCTTGGTGTTTACTGAGTGAGACATATTCTGTGAGCTCTTTTGTCAACAAACCCAGTAAGTGTTATATTCACAGTAAGTATGTTCTAAGTATGCCTAACTATATTCTAAGTAAGTATGTCAAATTAAATCTAAGTACCTGAAATTTATCTTAAATAAATGATCTGCTATAGTTTCTTTTACATGCAAGCAATCAATAGATATTAAAGGGCTAAATAAGTCCACGATGATTTCAGAAGTCTAATGTTTATATACATAAAACTTAAAAACTACTCTATATTCCTCAAGTTAGTGTTATGAAAAAGTGAGATGCAACTTCTGTGTCTATTTGCAGAACAATCATAAATATTTTTCTCCCATTTGGGAGAAGTAAAATCCTTGGTTTCTACACCTGGAAGTCTTTTCTCTTACCATCGCTTTTTACCTTGCACGCAAACACTATTTATCCTTAAAAGGTGACTATCACCTCAAAATCATTTAAGAGGAATGTATTGTAGGATTTTTTACCTTGCCAACAAAGATGCTTTACTGGGCCATTTTCAATGTAATTTGGCTCTTGCATGAAAAAGACAGCCTCCTAAATTCAGACATGGCCAGATAAAAACCCTTTTATTCAACTCTACATTATGTATTTGTCATTAAAACTCAAATTCTGCAGCAGGGCTCTTCCACTAGTCCCTGACTAAGCCTTTCATCAAGGGTTTTTATTTATCACATTTTAGAATCTAGGTGAAGCTAGTCTGTCAATCTCTGCTCACACAAAGTACAATTAGACTCATTTTGGATTTCTTTTCTTACTTAGATTGGGATACTTCATACCTTGCCAAAAAAACTGTTATTTTCAGATCTGCATTCCTCACACCATTATAAACATTCAGCCAATGGTTATTCTCTTATTTGCGATATAATTTATACATAAATTTATTTCTGAGTGTCTTATTCTTGATTTGAAACACAAGCTGGCTTCCTGCTACTTTTTAAAAAAATTTTAATGTAGACAGAGCATTGTTTCTTAATGGAACCTAATATCCATCATGCAAACATACTAATAACCATGTAGAGTAATGTCAAAAACCATGCAATGTAGGCTTTTTTTAAAAGAAAATGAATTAGTGAATGTTTCAATTCAGTAGTACCATAAACTATCTGTACATTAGCTACTCTCTGTGAATATATCTCTCAATTTTGGAATCTGCATTAACATTTTCCATAAATCTTTGAGTGCACAAAAGTAATGATGTTTATTAAGTAATCTAGCAGGATCTCATGAAATAAAGAATAATACAGTGACTTGAAGAGATCCCAGAAGACCACTTTAACATCAAGAGTCTCTCACTAATGCAGTGAATAATTCCAAGGTAATTTCTCAGCTACTTCTTCCACAGTATGTGAAATGACCTTCCTACTAGACATGTATTCAATTATATGCCTCGAGATATTTCCAGTGGAAATTCAAAAATGAAAGAGTGAGATTAAGTGGTCATATTCTTATCCAAGGCCTACCTTTTCATTTTTAGATTAACAATAAGAATACATATGTAATCTACAATTCATAATTATCAATGCATTACAAAACTTCCATATGTCTAATAGACTATACCGTAATGCTGACATTCTAATGTTTTAAAGTCATCTAGAAAAACTTAAATTTAGAGGAGAAGAAATGAAAGCTATTAAATAGTTGGACAACAGGCGTTACAGAGGGAGCTTAATTGAATTGGAATTATTTAAACTACAGAATAATGGACTGCAAGGTGACTTACTGTTGAAAGAAGAAAGTATAATTATTAAGTGAATGCCAACTTGCTCTACATACAACAAGAGAAAAAAATCAATTAAATTTGCAAATTCTTCCTTTCATATAGCTCCCACCCCACCTCTGTTCCCATCTTTTCTGTGTAGACAAGTTACTTGAAATACAAATTGGGCAATGTCATTTTTGGGTATGTATGTCTAATCTTTTCAACACTATCATTAAAATGTTTGTCTTCCCTGTGAATACAAGATATCATGTGATAAGTTTATCATGATATGTTTAAAAAGAGAACAAGCTGGTCATTATAGTTATTAATCAAATAATGTCTGATGGTTTAAAATGAAAAAAGTAAAAAGATAACCATTTTAAAATATAGCAGGTTTTTTTATGCCAGGGTAGATTGAATATATTGTTTTAAACAACTCTAGAATATATTTTGTTTGTTTGTTTGATTGATTGCTTTTGCTTCCTATCTAATCCTGAAATTTCTGTCTGTTTTCATGAATTGTACAGTTCTCACTGACAACCTGTCAAAAAATTACTTGGACCCCAAAGCTTTCTTTTTGGTGTTGATTTATTTTAATAAAATCCACTAAATCTGGACATACAGACTCACAGCTCCTTCTCTAGTCTTCCCATCCTAGATTTTTGTGGAGTTTTAAAAACCATGCTATAATAGGCAGAATTCTAAGGTGGCTCCTAAGATTCACATCCCCCTGGTATACACATTCTGTGTAATTTCCTCCTGTTGAGAATGGGCACGATTGCGACATATTATATGGCAAAGAGATTTTGCAGAGTAAGGCAGCAAACCATTTGATTCTGATTTTATCAAAATACTATCATCTAGGTTGGCCTGACTTAATCAGACAGGAACCTTTAAAAATGGAGCCATTGAAAGCATGAATGAGATTTTCCTGTTGGCCTTGAAGACAAGAAGTCCTGTGATGTGGAGAGGCCAAAGATTAGGGAATTGTGTGGCTTCTAGGAGCTGAAAGCAGCCCCTGGCCAACAGCCAACAAGAACAGTGGGAACCTACAACCCTACAACTGCAAGGAACTAAATTCTGCCAAGCCCACGTGAATGTGGAAGAGAACCCTGAGCTCCAAAAAAGAATACGGCTTTACCAGCTGTTTAATTTCAGCCTTGTGAGACTCTGGGCAGAGGATCCAGTCTTGTCATTCCAGGACTACAGACCTACAGAATCGGGACATAATAAACGTGTTTTGTTTTAAGACACTAAGTTTGTTAGACTTTTGTGGGCATTTGTTGTATAAAAATACGCATGCCCAGATGAAATCTAGAAGAATAAAAGTATTTTTGCCCTTCACACTCTTACCTTTGAATTACAAAGCAATCATATATCTATACACACATGTGCACATACACACACATTTAATTAAGAAACAAATAAAATGACAGGAAAGAAGATTCTATTAACATCCCTTTTCTGTACTCCAAAATGACAGCTTTCCATGTCTCTTGTCAGTTGTTTCTTGTACATAAATAGCAGGGCAACTAAATCAAAAAGAGGTGTTTGGATGGAGAATAAAAAGAGGTATTTAAAAAATATGAATTCTAGAAAATCATAATAAAATACTACCTGTAAATTTGCCATGGAATCAACCACACCATATGTGTAGGCATAACTAGAGAAAACCTTAAATTGTAGCCAGTGTCACCTTTCCTGCCTGTTTCATTCCACAATGCTTAGAAGTAGCCTTACAATTTGCAAGCAGGCCTACCAAGTCCTGTGATTTCCATTGGACATAAACTGTGAGTTCTACAGTTAGTCATCTTTCAAGGTCCAAATTCCATTTCTATTATCTTTGCTTCTGAATAGTTGTTAGTGGGAAATAGGAAGAAAGAGTGATGACAAATATACTGCCTATGCTACGCCTGCAACACATTTTCCCTTTTTCCCGTAAGCCCAGTAAACCACCATGCCAATGATTTCACCCTCTGCTCTGCTCAATAAAGCACAGCTAAAACTAAGATTATTTGCTTTCCTCTTGCAAATGCACCCTAAAGTAATATCAAAATGTTTCACTAATAATTTTTCCTCTACACAATGTGAGACAGACATTTTTCTGCCATTTGATGCCAGTAATGGATTTACAAAGGCCACAACATCTAACGCAAAGTAGAACACCACACCGCACAAATGCCCATTCCACTTGAAGGTTTTCCATAAAAACTCTTTGACTCTTTGACTATGACGAATCTGAGCAAAATGTGCTGCCTTCAAATTCCTTTTCAAAATGTATTTTTTAAGATTTCTGCCAGATTCCCCTTAAACTACCCCTTACTTCTCTCTTTCGAATCACTTTTTTTTCTCATTCCAAGCATAAGGATGATGATGATGGGTAACTGGTGCTATTAAGTACCCTGCTGACCCAGTTGACTCTAATTAAATACCATCGTGTCAATCAGCAAGTATTTGGCCTTAGCTATAGTAATTATTGATGCTTGTATAAATGCTTAACCAGGATATTAATGTAGGAAGTTATTATGACAACTTTTGAGCAACAGATTGTTGCACTACTGACTGAAATATGTAAGGTAGGAAAATAGAGGTTCCTGATGACATTGTTACAGAAAAGCATTAGAAAGCACATAATGGTCACATAGAAAGACTATTAACATTCCTAGAGTGAATTCTGTGAAAGTGTGTCATATTCGTTCAATCCAAAAAGTGGAGGAAAGTCTCACAGCAGCTGAATTTCAAAGTAACAGCTTCCACATAAAGCATTTTGGTGTGGAAAAGTCCTGCATATATTCATCACTTACTCGTGTGCTGTAAAATGAATGCTTTCCTATTTCAAAATGGGTGGCAGTCTTACTAGAATTTTGGCAGAAATTCTGCTCTTTATAATAGCAGAAATTGTTTTCTGCTATTATAAACGACCTCTGCCTTATATCAGTTCTCTTAATGAGTAATGCGAAATGTCAAATGCCGAAAGAAAAAAAACCCACATTTATATATTGTTAGCTCAGCAATGAATTCAGACATATATGGCCAAAATATTATATCTTAAAGCTGTCTTACAAAAGCCAAACCAGACCTGCAGAATAGGAATTGAAATACCTGATTGCACATTCACACAGGCAATCAGCAAGCCAAAGAAAGAGAGTAAAAAAGACACTTCCTCATGTTCAGCAGTATTCTGTCTGTTTCCAGGGATGTGTTCCAGGCCTTAGGTCATGACAATCAAGCTGCCTGCCCTGTTCATATCACCTCATCTCTTTTAGTATTTAAGTCAAAAACACACCTGCCTAAGTGCCTAAAGCTTACTACTAAATGCCTGCACAATACGGCTAAATGGGCTGAATGCAACCCAACATAGAACCTTCCAAACACGTGCTTGAAATGCACTGAGAGAAGCATTTTTATGCAAAAATGACAGAAAATGTAATCGAAAAGAAAACCTCTAACAAAGCCATAGCCAGATGGTGTTCTTTATTGGGGGCCAGCTCAGATTTCTGAGCTTCTGAAAATGTCACAGCTATTGCTGCTCAATTCTAGAGTTACATCCTAAATTTGGGAAAAACCTTTCCCATGTGAATGTTATGATCCATTCACATTTGTCTTATAATTTAACATTTTGAAAATCCTTTCAATTTTTTGGTTGTACAAATAATACGTGTTCAAAAAAATGCATATTTCAGTAGAAAAATATGGAAGCAATATGAAAAAATATAAAAGTAAAAATTAAAAGTAAAATCTTACTGAAAATGCTATTGTTTTTACTTTGTAAGTTTTTCTATGCATTTAGACACATATAATACTGTTCAAAAATGAAGTTAAATTTTATAGAGATTTGCACATTTTTTGTTACATTAAAAGTTGTCTTGTAATCATCTTCCCATATCAAAAAACATACATTCAAATTGACATTTTAAATAGTTGGATAATATTTCACTTGAAGGTAATCTCATGGTATATTTAACTAGAACTATAGAACTATATAGATTGCTATCTCTAGCAATGCTACAATAAATATTCTTAAATATGTAACATTGTACTCTTATTAAAATGTTTCCTTAAAGCAAATTCCTGGAATTAGATTCACTGGGCCAAAGTGTACTTGTAAATCTAATAACACTTACTACCAATCATCCAAAAATTTTGTGCTCATTCAAAGATCCAAAGAAAGTATAAAAGTTCATACTGGCAAAAAGCCTCAGAAACATTGGGTACTTCCATATAGGCAGAAAGTGGAAACTATTGTGTTTTTTGTTTGTTTTTTAAAATTATGTATTACATTATAGTTTTAGACATTTAAGGAGTACAAAGTGATGTTATGATTTTTAATACCATGTGGAATGATTTAATCAAACCAATTAATATATGAATCACCTCAAATATTTTACATTTTTTGTGATGAGAACATTTCTAATTTACTCTTAGAGATATTAAAATGTATAGTACTAATTTTAGCTATATTCATCACTCTCTGCAACAGATCTCAAAAAAATAATCAAACTTATCCCTCCTAATTTAGGCTTTGTACTCATACTATCTCTCCATCCCCTCTCTTTCCCCAGCCTCTGATAATATTCCTACCATACCACTCTCTGCTTCTGTGAATTTAAATGTTTTAGATTCCACATATAAGTGAGAACATGTGGTATCTGTCTTTATGTGTTCAGCTTATTTCATTTAGGATAATGCTCCCCAATTCCATCCATGTTGTCCCAAGTAATAGAATTTCTCTATTTTTAAAGGCTGAATAACCTTTCATTGTTAATATACCTCACATTTTCTTTATCCATTCATCTGTTGACAGACACTTAGGTTGAATCTATAACTTAGCTATTGTGAATACTGCTTCAATGAACATGAGAGTGCAGATATCTCTGACATACTGATTTCAAATCTTTTGGTTAAATATCTAGAAGTGGGATTGCAGGATCATATAGAATTTCTTTTTTTAGTTTTTTGAGGAAGCTCCATGCTGTTTTCCATAATTACTGTATTAATTTACATTTCCACTAACAGTGTAAAGTGTTTCCTTTTCTCTACATCCTCACCAACATTTGTTTTCTTATTGTCTTTTTGATAATAGCCATTCTAACAGGTATGAGGCAATATCTTATTGTGGCTTTAATTTGCATCTCTCTAATGATTAGTGATATTGACCATTTTTTCATGTATCTGTTAGCCATTCATATTTCTTCTTTGAGAAATGTCTGTTCAGGTCTCTTCTTATGTCAGGTCATTTCTTAATTGGATTATTGGTTTTCTTTTTCTAGAGATGTTTGAGCTCCTTATTTATTTTGGATTTAATCTCTTATCAGACATATATGGCTTACAATTATATTTTCCTAAATCCATAGGTTATCGCTTCACTCTGTTAATTGTTTCTTTTGCTGTGTAGTGAAGCTTCCAATTTTGATGTAATCTCATTTGTCTATTTTTTAATTTTGTTGCCGGCATTTTTGGGGTCACATCTAAAATTCATTGCCCAGGCCATTGTTGTGTAGATTTTCTCCTAGGTTTCCTTCTAACAGTTTTACAGTTTTAGATATCATATTCCAGTCTTAAATACATTTTGAGTTGATTTTTGCATATGGTGTGAGATAAGGGTCCAATTTTATTATTTTGCATATGAATATCCAGTTTTCCCAACACTATTTATTGAAAAAAAAAAATCCTTTCTCTCTGTATATTCATAGCTCCTCTGTTGAAAATCAATTGACCATAGATGCGTGGGTTCATTTTTAGGTTTTCTGTCCTGTTCCATTGGCCTAGGTGTTCTGCCTTCTTTTTGTGAAAGTTCACTGTGGGGTCTTCTCCTTCCCTGAGCAGGGCTCTAGGTTAGTGTCTGAGGCTGGGCCTGGAAGCTGGTCATCTAGGGATGCAAGGCAATTAACTCTTCCCACCTCTGCTGGAAACAGCTAGCTCAGCTTTGTTGGGGAGGTATGCTGTTAGCTGGTACCTGTGATCATGCATCACCGCTGGCAGGGATAAGGAGCTATCACCAAAATCTGTGCAAGGGTCACTATAGGCTCTGCCTTCTTGCTTTGTTTCTGTCTAACCGCCCCATCCCCACCCCCACTAGGCAGTCTAGCCCTGCATTCCTACATTCTTTGTGAGATGACAACAGAGTAAGCTGTGAAGCATCTTGGAATTCTAGGGAAGCTGGAAGTCCACCTTCCTGTTCCTCTTTTCCCACTGTAGAAACTGTGGGCCCTAAGGAATCTTCTTTGTGGTGCTGTGCCGACTTGAGGTAGGGGAAGGGGCAATATGGTCAAAGCAAGGCCATTTGTCCATCCTTTCAATGTTAATTTTTATTCAGTTCTGTGGAACATGCAGGCCACTCAGACTTCTTCCCACATTTGAGGGTTTTCACCAAAGTATTTTTGTCCGTGGATAGTAGCTAGCTGATCTTTCTATGTGGGGGAGTGAAGCCCAGGGCCTCCTATATCACCATGTTGCTGATGTCAACAAAATCCTAAGCTATAATTTTTAGTTTTATATATTTAGCAATTAGATTGAAATTTGTACATGTTTTGACTTAATATAGGTGTATACTGACTGTTCATATCCTTTCATCTTTCTCTATTAGAGCATTTGTCTTTTACATATTGATTTATATGTAATTTTCATTATTGCCTTTCTGCTTGGCATATGTACTATATTTTTAGTTGTTTCTTTATATTTTCTTTTACCTTCTAGGAAGTTTTACTATATTCAACATAGTAGATTATATAGCTTTTTATAGTTTCTTGTGGAATTATTTGTAACTTCAAATCCTTCCATAATCCAAGTTTACGAAATTATAAATTCTGTTTTCTTCTAGTACTCATTTTGGTTAATCAGTTATTCCGACATCTTTTCTAGGGATTTGAGAGATCATATTTATTGTTTACTAAATGCATGTATTTATGTGAATGGGCTAATAGACTTTGGGGCTGATTTTCTTCCATGATTTTTAAATTACTATAGATTTATAGGAAGTTTTCTTAGCTGGCCAATTTTAATCCCTCTCCTTAATCTCATGTTTCAAAACATCTTCTAATAATGAAGAAGTCTAAAGATAGGGTTTTTCTTCTGCCTTTGTTGGTATCATGTAAT
This sequence comes from Homo sapiens, assembly GCF_000001405.40. Classification (NCBI taxonomy): domain Eukaryota; kingdom Metazoa; phylum Chordata; class Mammalia; order Primates; family Hominidae; genus Homo; species Homo sapiens. Next base: position 119,956,393 of record NC_000006.12, on the reverse strand, counting down.
ATTTGCTTGGTCCACTGTAATGTAAAATCTCCATTTTGGGACTTGACATTGATTTTTCCTAGTATATAGTTGTAAACTTTTCAATTTGCATACATAGCATTTTATTCTTTAGTTTAGAATATTTCCACTCAATATGTATTAAATTATCCCATCTGTTTCATCTGTGCTGGTCTCTCCTTTCAGAAAAAGTTATTGTCAATATAGTATCTCTCTTCTCTGTTTATCATATACCTAATCTTCTTTCCACATTCTTTTTCAGGAACATTTCACAAATGCATCTTCTATATTCACATTCCAACTTTTTGAGAGTCTTAGGTTTCATATTGACTGCCTTTACTACTATGGTTTTTTTGTTTGTTTCCAACTATTTTTTCAAATTGAGCTTCACTTTATATGAGCACTTTACCCTTTCTCCAAGTTATTTTTGTTCTTAGGATTTACGTTCTTAATATCTAAATATCTAAATCTTCTTAAATACCATTAAGGAAGTTAGCTAACTTAATAATGAGCAAAAGCTCATTTTAACAGTTACATAGCTACATTTTTCTAGATATTCTTCTTTTAGTTTCCTGTAGAGATATTTTTCTTTAAAGACTATTCTTCTTGCTACTGAATTAGATATGGGTGCTCAACTACAAAATCACCGGGAAAAAACATCTCAGCAGTTGAAAATTCTGACTTCAAAGTAATCGTTCCCCCAAAAAGAAATAAAATTGGAAATGCTAAAGGTTGTGTTATGGGGTGGTTTATGAAAAAAAAAAAAAAAAGAAGTTAAATTCTACTTTGAAGACCAATACTAAGAAAGGCTTCTTTCCTCCATGAAAAGACTTGAAACACAAAAAAATTACAGCAAATGATAGACGGTTTGAATTTAGGGAGAAAAATCCTTACAATATTTATATACTGAGCATGACAGTGGCCAAATTATCCACTAATAAACCTGTCGCTCAAAATTTATAATATTATTTTAAAATTTTACCAAGAAAATATTGACTTCAGAGCATCTCTGCTATATAAATAAAATAGCTACAAGTTATATTTATAATTTGGTCCCCGCAAAAAGTAGAACATACATAACAAGATAGGAAAAACATTAATGAAAAAACCACACTAGTTGCCTAGGACAATACAACTGAACTTCAAAAGCTGTTGCCTCTTATTATTGGCTATTCAAAAAATTATAAAATGTAATAAGATACAAATTATTCTATACAAGTATATTAAGAGTCATAAAAACTTACATGAATTGACTCTGATTTAAAGTTTCATTTTTCTGAAAATGCATGATAAATAAAAACACAATGGAATTCTTAACTGAAAAAACTTTAAACCTAGATAATATGGCTTCCAGACCAATTTTGAGGATTATAAAGACAGCAAAATAAAGGACTTATTTATAACCCCTCATGCAGTCTAATTGAAGAAATGTTAGAATACTTAAAGAAGTAACTTAGACAGAAGTTTGACTTATGTTTTGGGAAAGATAAATTTAAGACCAATATCTAGATCTGAACGTAATCAAAATTCTTCTCCAGTAAAGACATTGTTTATACTGTGGCATTAGCATAAAATCACTTTTCCAAGAAAAGTTTGGTATATTGATTATTATAATGAAAGCAGAATCAAGTCCAGAATTTTAAAAATTGAATTTTTAGAAGTCGAAGATGTCCTCCACATATTTTATTGTTACATTTAGAAAGGATTAAATCTGCAGTCACTAATATTATGATAAATAAGTGAAGGACCTATGATGTGAAAATCATTTGTCTTTTAAACAAGAGAAAATTTAATCTTATTAAATGTATATTTATGTATATGTTTTATTTTATAATTAATTACAATGAAATACTTAAATTACAATTTATGTCTATGTACCTTTACTGTTTTATGCAAACAAAAAAATTGCAAACTAATTAGTGGGTCCAGTTATATTAGATAAGATCGTTTATGCTGTTATTCAAAATAAGTATTGCTGTGAAATTTTTTGCTGTTCATTTGTAACACTTCACTTGTGAAATTATGGTTTCCTCAATTTATTGAACCCCTGTAAATCTGTTATTTCTTACAGTCTACGGTTTCCTGGGCGCTTCAGTTCCTGCTTAAGTATTAAAATATGATGCAAGCCACTACACACCTATTAGAATAACAAAAATTCAGAACAGTGACACAAAATTCTGGCAAGGATGTGGAGTAACAGGAACCTTTATGCATTGCTGGTGGGAATGCAAAATTGTACGGTGGTGCTGGAAAGCAGTTTGGCAGTTTCTTACAAGACTAAACATACTCTTACCATACAATTCAACACTCGCACTACTTGATATCCACCTTATGTCCACACAGAAACTGCACATGGATGTTTATATCAGCTTTATTCATAATTGCTAACCAAGATGTCCTTTAGTGGGTGAATGGATAAATAAACTGTGTTACTCCATGACAATGGAATATTATTCAGCACTAAAAAGAAATGAGCTATCAAACCCTGAAAAGACTTTTAGAGGAAACTTCAATACATGTTACTAAGCAAAAGAAGCTAATATGAAAAGCCACATATTGTAGGATTCCAACTATAAAACATTCTGGAAAAGGCAAAACTATGGAGACAATAAAAAGATCAGTGGTTGCCAGAGATTATGAGCAATGAAGGAATGAGTAGATGAAGCATAAAAAATGTTTTATGGCAGTGAAATTATTCTGTACATTATAATAATGGATACATGTTATTGTACATTTGTCAGAGCCCATAAATTTATATATTGTGATACAATCCATTTTACATTTGTCCAAAACCATGGAGTGTACAACACCAAGAGTGAACCTTATGTAAATTATGGACTTTGGGTGATCATGATGTGTCAATGTAGGTCCCTAAAATGTAAAAAATGTGCCATTCTGGTGGGGGATATTGATAATAAGGGAGACTGTGCATGTGTGAAGGTAAGGGGGATATGGGAAATGTCTATTTCTTCTTTGCAATTTTGCTATGAAACTAAAACTCATCTAAACTCACTAAAGTCTGTAAAATAAAAATATGATGGAGAATAACAGATAGAAATAGTATGACACCACACAGATCAATATACAAAGGGTCGATAATGACACTTTTTGTCTTCAATTTTGTAGAATTTATGCATCTTTGAATTGGGGGACTGATTTTGTAGGAGACTGAAAGTTTTAGTCTACTTTTTCTGAAATAGGAAGTAAGATTGAACTAAAGTTTGGGAATGATTTTCTCAATCCAAAAATGTATTTCCTAATTATGTTATTTTTTCCTTAGCAATTATATTACCTTTAAATTTTATGCTATTTAGAAATTTTATCGTTTAATACATCTTCAAAAACCATTTTTTGAGAAGTTGGGAATGGTAGTGTATTAAAAACTATATTCCAAAAATTATTTTGAATTGGAAGTCCTGTTGCTTCACTATGAAACCATCAAACATTATTTGGCATATAGAGCAATGAGAGCATCCTCACCACACATGTGCATAACCTGAGGGTGAAAGTGGCTCAGTGGGTTACTCTAGGTCACACAGGTGGAACAATGTTGCGCTATCACTAGAGATCAGACAATATTCTTCATTATAACTGTTTCCAATTTTACAAATACGAAAATTATGATATGATTGAGATCCTCACTTGCAATAGTAATAATACATAGAAAGAAGACTGTAATGGTAAACTAATGTTAAAATTGAGTGATACTCTAAGATTCTCTAATCCTTCATTGTCAAGAAATTGACCAAAACATTCATTGAGTAATTAAGACTGAAATTTGAGATATATAGTCAAAACTTTCCATATGTGCCATGAAAGAAGAAAGAGAGTAAGCAAATGAATAGCTCTGGGAAGTAACATATAATAAATAGATAAAAATTATCCTTTCAGGTAAAAGTGGCAACAAGGTAGGCCGGGCGCGGTGGCTCACGCCTGTAATCCCAGCACTTTGGGAGGCCGAGGCGGGCGGATCACGAGGTCAGGAGATCGAGACCATCCCGGCTAAAACGGTGAAACCCCGTCTCTACTAAAAATACAAAAAATTAGCCGGGCGTAGTGGCGGGCGCCTGTAGTCCCAGCTACTTGGGAGGCTGAGGCAGGAGAATGGCGTGAACCCGGGAGGCGGAGCTTGCAGTGAGCCGAGATCCCGCCACTGCACTCCAGCCTGGGCGACAGAGCGAGACTCCGTATCAAAAAAAAAAAAAAAAACAAAGTGGCAACAAGGTGACACGTGCCAGATTCTGATACATTTTCTCTGAAGATTTAACCAACAAAAGTCAAATGCTGCAATAGCACCTTTGAGTAAGAATACCAGTCAACCTTTTGCCAAAGAAGTAAACTCAACTAACTAGTACTTATAACGTTAGATTAAGTAGCCAAGCCAGGTTGCAGTTTTCCCCTAATAAAAAGGAATGAAATAATCAGGAGGCAAGAAAAAACTAGGACAATCTCCGTCTATCTTAAATGTTTAGGGTATACACCGAAAATAAAGTTTATTCCATAATCATCACCAGGCTAGACTCTAAGAATCACATTTTAAAGCCACCAGTCACATACTAATATGAATTGTGTCCTCTGAAAATGTACATATTTAAGCCCTGACCCCAATATAATGGCATTTGGAGATGGGACCTGTGGGAGGTAATTAGTTTTAGATGAGGTCATGAGGGTGGGGCCCCCATGGTGGGATTAGTGACCTTATAAGAAAAGGAAGAGAAACCAGAGCTTTCTCTCAGCCATGTGAGAACACAGCAAGAAGGCAGCTATCTGTGAGCCAGGAAGAGGGCCCTCAGCAGGAACTGAATCAGCTGGCAAGTTTATGTAGGACTTCTTAGCCTCTATAACTGTAAGAAATAAATGTCTATTGCTTAACAGTCCTTTAAGCCATCTCAGGCCACCCAGTCTGTTATGTTCTTATAGAAGTCCAAACAGACTAATATACGTAGCTACTCTATCAGTTTCCCTTTTATATGATTTTAGATATTTGCTCATGCATCAGGCAGAAACAGAGAAATTAATATAGCATATGGCAGTGCTCACTAAAAGAATGTGTACCTTATGAAAAGAAACCAAGAAAACACTTCATGGAGTTCCTGTAGAAGGACTAAACACTTTGTAGATTCTCAAGAATGAAAATTATTTTATTCAGCCATTCTCAGTGGAGATGGGGTTGGGGTGGGGGTGGGACTGGAGAGAGGAATGGGAAGAAGTGATAGGATCTGCTGGATAGCTTTATTTAAATATTCAGCTGAAGGCAGAACCCAGATATATGTATTAGGAATAAAATTCTTAAGAGTGGAGCTGGAACAAGGGTTAGGTGAATTAGGCACTCACCCTGAGCACAAAATTTAAGGGGGGGCATATAAAGCTCAGTAATAAAGAGAGAATATTTTAGTAATATTTTTTAAATGCAAAAAATTCATGATGAGAAGAATATCAAAATTGTAAATAAAGCCAGGATGTGACCCTCATTTTATGACCCTGACTCACCTGCCACACCCTAATCCCAGTTCTTGTTCAAATAAAATGTTATTTGTAAAAGCAGGAGTCACACATGGCCATTACTTGACAATTTAATTTTTAAAATATTTTAAAATATATCACACCACTTAAACATAATTCAATGTATTCACATATATATGTTATTTACATATTTACATTTACCTATAAAATTTGTCTTGATTCCTGTTTTTTGGCACCCCTTCAATTTTGCACTGCAAAATTTGCTTTAATCTGGTTCCACATCTAGAGAGAAATAAAAAACTCTGCTTGCCTTTCTTGAGAATTAATTCTCAGAAACTTTTTTTAATGTAAGCAAGAAAGAGAAAAAAAATATTACTTCAGCAGAACAATGTAACATGAAAGCCTACAGTTACCAGAAACTGAACTATACACTATACACATCTTTACACTGAACTGTACGCTACACACATCTAAACTCACTTTGCCATGGTAAGAGTCTATCATCACCCAAGTACATGAAGAGGCTCTAAAAACAATTATAGCAACCTATTTTTAACAAATGCTCGATATAACACTTATCTTCTTTCACATATGAATAATTAAACTAGTCTGGAAACTATTAAAGAGCGTAGTGCAAAAAAAAGTAGCATTATTATTCCAGATGAGAACTAATCTCTTGAAAATTAGCATAAGAAATGAATATTTTTCAAATATCTGCCTCAAGTCTTCAAACAAGTCAGAAATAAATGCAATTATAAGCCAATATTAAAATATTATAAGTAGTCCAGATGAAGGCAGTTAGCTAATGTGAAAGGTAAAATAAAATAGCAAGATAAAAAATAATTTTAAGATCATGAAAATCTAGTAGGTTAATTAAAACCTACTGTAAAAATAATTTAAAGATCAGGCATTACCCAGAAAATTAACTTTTAATTTTTTAATGTCGTAAAATGACCAGCATCAATGTTCTTTCAAATTTCAGAAGAAAAAAAATAAAAGAACAAAGATATGGCAATGCTAAGAAGATTTAACAGATATAGAGAAAGGAGAAGAATTTTTTCTTTTTCAAATATAGAGATTCTAGCAGAAAAAAAAAATCCCAATAAATTAAGCTAAATCTATAAGCAAATTTATGGGAAATAAAATCTATCACAATTTAAAAACATGAACTAAACATGCAGCTCGAAAATAGTTCATAAGATCTAAAATAAATGAACACTTGGACACAGGAAGGGGAACATCACACACCAGGGCCTATCGTGGGGTCGGGGGAGGGGGGAGGGAAAGCATTAGGAGATATACCTAATGTAAATGACGAGTTAATGGGTGCAGCACACCAACATGGCACATGTATACATGTGTAACAAACCTGCACATTGTGCGCATGTACCCTAGAACTTAAAGTATAATTAAAAAAGAAAAAGAAAATGGAAGTATCTTGGCAAATTTTTACATTTTACATTTTAAGGAAAATTGTTTGTGTGTGTGTGTGTGTGTGTGTGTGTGTGTGTATATACACACATATATAATTTATATGTATGGAATTAAATCAGGCTAACAATTAGAAATGTGTAAGAGTTGCTTAAAGAATGCCGTGAACTCTTTACTGTGGAATGAAAGAAAATGTAAATAAAAGAAAGGTATATAGTTCTAAAGTGAAATATAAATATTATAATAGCAGAATTTTTTCCTAATATATGGACAATGAAATTTCCAGCAAAATCTCGAAGGAGATATTCTCAAATTGATCAAGTGATTTAAAATACCATAAGGAAGAATGAATACATTAAAATGGCTATGAAACTAATTTAAGAATAAAATAATAAACACCATTGTCAAATATTCCATATATTTAGAAGATTTAATGATATTTTATGTGATAAAAATTCAGATGAATGAAGAAATCAATTATAATAGGAAACAAATGTAAGGTATATGTTAAAGTTTAATATATAAAGGAATGAGAATTTTTATCTTAAGTATCAAATGATTTGTTAAAAGTCACTTAGAAAAATAGTTACTTTAAACAAATATATCAAGTATAATTGTATCTTTCAAGATATCTCCAGATCAATTTATTTAAAAAATTAAGAGTAAAGAGGATGAGAAAAATAGATAAAAATCAAATGACTAGACTTAAAATAGGATAATATAACTGTAAACCTATCAGAAAGGCAGGGAAAAAAATGAAGTCAAAGAACAGTGTCAAGAAGCTAAAAAACAAAGTACAAAAAGAAAAAACTTGCACAAAATAAAAAGGATCCCCTGTGCACAGAATTTCATCTCTTTCAACCATACAGGGAAAATTTTGAAAGCAAAACAAAAGAAAACAAAAAAACAACCAAAAAGAAAACCTGTAGAGTTTTTCTCCAGTGAAATCACGGAATCTTTTTGCGAAGAACTAGAAAGTCTCAGAGTCATTTGTCCCCACAGCAAAAGCTCTCCACGTTATGTAATTTAGGAAGATTCAGTCCAATGCACACTCCCCACACCTCAGCTTAGGGAAGCTAGCCTTAATGCCTTTAGCAATTAGGAAGTAATAAAATAAAATAAAATAAACTGGGCTATCTTATTTGTAAGTATGTTTCATAACAGAAGCATATAGGACTTAAGTTACTAATTAAACCTGTCATTGAAAACACAGACATTAAATATACATTAATATATATTTTTGTACTGTGTTACTCCCTCTGTACAGAACAGGAGAGCCGGAATGTTTTCCTCCGCCCCAAAATTTCGATAATGAATTTTGGTTTTTGGAAAATACATATGTAATAGAGAATTTGGGCTTATACTCTTACCTAGGAGCAATATTTCATATCATTCATTATCAAAAACCTGAACAGAATCTTTGCAATATCTTAAAGTAATTCTAAGATATTGGTAAAATGCTGGTATTCTGTTGTTGTCATATTTGTTTTACATTACCATATGCACTGTAATTCAATAACATCTTTTCCTAAATCTTTGTTGCCACTATCAGGTTTGATGGAGAAAGGCAAACTCAATAATAGTTCCACTACGTAATGGTTTATATCAGAAACACATTTTTGAATTCAGTATTTACAGTACATTACAGGAAAAATATTTTAGGAAATCATGTTCATTTAAGAAAAAAATGTCAGCATAGACAAATGAGCCAAATGAGTTTCCCGTATAAGGGCACATACCACATAACATTATTTCAAGTCAACGACAGATCACACATACAGTGGTATTCCCATAAGATTATAATGGAGCTGAAAAATTCCTATCATCTAGTAATGTAGTAGTTATAACAATGTAGGGCAACACATTATTTGCATGTTCATAGTGATGCTGGTCTAAACAAACCTATGTGCTGCCAGTTGTATAAAAGTATAACACGTATGGTTAAGTACAGTACATAATACTTGATAATGATAACAAATGATTGTTATTGGTTTCCGTATTTACTAAACTTTTTATCATTATTTTGGAGCATACTGCTTCATCTTGCTATAAAAATTTAAGTATAAAACAGCCTCACGCAGGTCCTTCAGGAGACATTTCAGAAGAAGGCACCGTTATCATAGGAGATGACAGCCCCATGCATGTTCTTGTTCCTGGAGACCTTCCAGGGGGACAAGAGGTGGATGTGGAAGACAGTGATATTGATGATCCTGACCCTGTGTAGAATCTAATGTGTGTGTTTTTACCTCAGTTTTTAACAAAAGAAGTGTAAAAAAAAAGTTAAAAATGAAAAAAGCTTATAGAATAAAATATAAGGAATACCTTTTTGTACAACTGTATAAATGTATTTATATTTTAAGCCAAATGGTATTACAAAAGAGTTTAAAAAATAAAAGTTTATAAAGTGAAAGAGTACAATAAGCTAAGATTAATTTATTTTAAAGAAAAAAATATTTTGAATTAATTTAATATAGCCTAAATGTACAGTGTTTATAAAGTCTACACTCATGTATAGTAATGTCCTTGGCCTTCATGTTCACACATCACTCAGTCACCCAAACCAACTTCCTGTCCTGCAAGTACCCTTCATGGTAAGTGCCCTATACAGGTGTATCATTTTTTATCTTTTATACCACATTTTTACTGTTCCTTTTTATGGTTAGATGTTTTTAGATATACAAATACTTACCATTGTGTTACAATTGCCTACAGTATTCAGTACAGTAACATGCTGTACAGGTTTATAGCCTAGAAGCCATGGGCTATACCATATAGTCTAGATGTGTAGTAGGCTACACCTTCTAGGTGTATGTAAGTAACACCCTATAATGTTTGTACAAGGACAAAATCACCTAATGATAGATTTCTCCAAATGTATCTGCACCATAAGTGACACATGACTGTATATTTATTTGCCAGGGCAATCAAATTGATTTATACACTTATATGAATGCATGTGCACACACTTGCAGAGAAATTATATTTGGAAGAATATTTTAACTATGTGGGATAATGTCAACCAAAAGGTCAGTTACGTAATTCAACATTTGCTGGGTGATCTGGGGTAAGAATTTTGCTGTGGATGATATGAATATGTTGATTTCTTTCAACAGCATAAAATTTTCTTTAACTCTATATCCTTGCCAAGCTAAATAATTTCTTATTGTGTGTCTCGTCAGCTCAGCAAAACCTTGAGCAGACTAAGGTTTTAGATCTAAAAACATACCAAATTCTCTTCGTTCATTTAGTCATCCAACAAATAGTTATTGAGAACCTTTGATGTTAGAGACACTTTTCAAAACTCTGGGATTGAAAATAAAACAAACAAACAAATGAAACAGAATACAAAAACAATATGCCCTGTCCTCATGGAATTTACTTTCCAAGCATATATGTGGGTTTGAGTGTGTTGGGAGGATGGGGGCAGAAAATAATTTATATGGACAATAAGATGTATAGCTGTGAAGAAAAAGAAAAGCAGAAAATCAATATAAGGTGTGGTTTAGCAGGTGGCAGGGATGGGGGATTCTGTGTTAAATACGCTGGCTAGAGAAGACACCACTGAGAAATAAACTGGGAAATATCCAAATGGAGTGAAAGATCCAGTCCTTCAACTCTTTGTGAGAGAATTTTGAAAGCAGAGGGAAGAGCAAGTACAATGGCTCTAAGGCACAGAGCTGTTGTACATGTGGCCCGTAAAATGTCCAAAATGGATAAAGCAAAGGGGAGAGCATTAGAAGATGAGGTCAAAGTAGTCTGTTGGGGGTGGGGGCTGAATGGCATTGACTTTGTTGTGTGTAAGTCATGGGAAGGACTTGGATTTACTCTGAAATATAAAGACTTTTAAAATTTTAAGAAGAATTTCAGTTTATTATATGTTCTGTTCTCAAACTTTTTTTGACAAAACTATTTCTGGAAAATAATGTAACGTAAAAACATAAATTCCATATCTGCAAAATGTTATCTTTTTAAAAAGTCTAACATTGATCACCAGTTAAGTATTATCTATAAATACACTAGTTAATTTTGATCAATTTGCTTTAAAGTTTTCTCAACGCTAAAGATTAAGTAATTTGGGGCCTGTCATGGCTACCATCTCCAAATATTATTTAAACATACAAAAAATGTCAGTGATGATAAGTAGATACATTTAAATGGTTGGCATTGGCCAGGCGTGGTGGCTCATGCCTGTAATCCCAGCACTTTGGGAGGCCAAGGCGGGCGGATCATGAGGTCAGGAGTTTGAGACCAGCCTGGCCAACATGGCAAAACCCCGGCTCTACTAAAAATACAAAAATTAGCCAGGTGTGGTGGCATGAGCCTGTAGTCCCAGCTACTTGGGAGACTGAGGCAGGAGAATCACTTGAACCAGGAGGCAGAGGCTGCAGTACGCCAGGACCACGTCATTGCACTCCAGCCTGGGTGACAGAGTGAGACTCCGTCTCGAAAAAATAAATAAATGAATAAATAAATAAAAATAAAAATAAATAAATAAATAGTTGGCATTATTTATAGCTGTGTTATCATCAGCTACAAAACACAATGCCACAAATGACTTATTTTTTTCTCCCAGCACAGCCTGTAAATTCTTAGCCAAATCTCCAGTGTTAGTTACATTTTCAATGTTTGTTTCTGTTGAGGACATATAATTTCTATTGCCTCCAATGGATACTCTTTTATAAAACTACCATCTGTAATAAAAATGCCATCTGGGCAATTTTGTAACGAATTCATAGTAACATATTATAACAACATAACTTATTTTATATGTATTCAAAAATTAAGCCTGTGGAAATTTTAGTTCATATTTTAGTTCATTAAGATTTTTATCACGAATCTTTCCATAGATTCATGATAAGCTTTGTTTTTAGTGTGTGTGTGTGTGTGTGTGTGTATGTGTATAGGCACCTTCCAACATTTTGTTAACAGTATAAATATGTAAAAAAAAATAGTTTAAGAAATAATTGTTCTTTTTGGAAACAAATTGTGCTTTTTCTCTTTCTTGTGAACACGTTGAAAGATACACAATTGAAGGATGTCTGTCTCCAACTGGAAAAAAAAATAGCGCAAGCATGATGATGCATAGCAACCGATACTTGGGTTTAGGGTCAGGAAGACCAAAGGGCACACAAAGGACAGTGGCAATCTGGAGCACGTATATCCCATCTAAAAGCAGAAGCAACTACTTACTTTCTGACAATTGTTTTCATTCATAAATGCAAGTTCAGTTTACCAACTCTTCCACTTTGCAAAAAAAGTAAGCAATCTATATTTTTAGATAAAATCTACCAATTGTAATATATCTGAATAATTATTTTCAAAACATTGTACAGGCTAGGCAAGCTATGTCTGCAAGAGGTGTTTAGGCTGTTAGTAACCACTTTGTGATGCTCTAAAAGTTACAGCATCCACCTGATAAGATTTACAAAAGGAGAGAATACAGATAATATGGGAAAAGGAATGTTCAAGGAAACAAAAAGGAAAATTTCACAGACATCAAAAACATATGATTTATATCCAAAAGGGCCTGCATTTTAGAAGCAAAGTAAGAAAAATAATAGCAAAAACAAATTCTACATTAAAAAACAGAACAAACATGTAGACAAAATACTAAACAGCTTCCAGAGAAAATTGGAGGATAAAAGATTACATGCAAAAAATTATAATCAGATGGACCACAGTGTTGTCATTGACAACACTGGAAACAAGAAGACAAAGAATAAAAGTGTAAAATTTTAACAGAAACAATTTTAAGCAAGAATTCAGAAGAAGCATTATTTTCAGATAAGTGGGTTAACAAACATTACCACAAATTGGCCAGGTGAGGTGGCTCACGCCTGTAATCCCAGCACTTTGGGAGGCTGAGGCAGGCGGATCGTGGTCAGGAGATCAAGACCATCCTGGCCAACATGGTGAAACCCCGTCTCTACTAAAAATACGAAAAATTAGCCAGGCGTAGTGGTGGGCACCTGTAGTCCCAGCTACTCGGGAGGCGGAGGCAGGAGAATTGCTTGCACCCACGAGGCAGAGGTTGCGGTGAGCTGAGATTGTGCCACTGCACTCCAGCCTAGATGACAGAGCAAGGCTCTGTCTCAAAAAACAAAAAAAAAAGAAAAGAAAAAAGAAACGTTACCACAAATTGATTAATTTAAAAGCAAAAAAAAGTGGACATTTTCAAACAAGAAAATAATTTGGATTATACAAAACTGATACAAAAATTAGTAAGGTGTTTTTGTTTTTCGTCTCTTTTGATTTGTTTTGTTTTTCCCGAGATGGCAAATCAGAGTTTTTTAGCATGTCTCAGCCACTTGGAAATAGCAAGACAGCACACAAAGGTCAACTCTCTGAGCTTTAATTCAAGAAGGAAGATGGAAACCTATCAGAATCGTGAAGGACACCCTAGATCCTCCTTTGTATGGTGTGTGGCTCATAAAAGTTAGTAAAGTTCGAGTATGTGAGAGGCAGAGAGCCTCCCTCTGTGACTCACCTTCCCACTGTGGATCCAACAACCCAGGCCAAGAGAGAGCACTTTATTTCTCCCAAACTCCAGACCTAACTTGGGGAAAGGTTTGGAGGCTCTGAGAGAGAAAGAAGTTACAGGCAATTTCCCAGACCTGGGACTGAGAGCAGGATCGCATTTTAAATCCAGGTGCATACAAAGTTATGGCAACTCAGAAGCATAGCTGTGCAGGCATTTTTGCCTTGGAGCAGAGATTGGAGCACTTGTTCTGGAGAAGCATAGAGGCTTCCACAGCCAGAATTATGTAAAGTACGTCAGCAGTAGGTACTGGAACTGTGCTCTCCTCAGTTACAGGCCTGGTGTGGGAGAAGAGTTGCTATGCTTGAAATTTCTTTTGGGAGATGAGACTTGCAGCCAGGACCAGTTTGATGCCTGGAACCGGTCTGCATGTGTCATTGCTAATTGCTGCAGCCTGCTTCCTGAGATTGTGTGGCTTCCTAGCCACACACCTAGGCATACCTCTGGGTGCTGGGTGACCACTCACTGGATTCTCCCCTGGCATTAGTGCTTGTGCCTGCCATCAGGGGAACTATAGGTGGGCCTGCCCAGTCTGTCTCTAACCATTCTGCCCCCTGCTGCCCTAGGATTTAGCAGGGAGCTCAGACCACTGTGAACTCCATGGTCAGCCCATTGCTTGGGACAACAGAGAGCGTCTTCCAGTAAACAAGGATGAATTATATACCCAGCCAGGTTATCCACAGCTGGCTGTTACCCATATGCACCATCTACTGGTTTGTAAGTCAAAGAACACAGCCCAGTATAAAACCTGCTGACAGAAGTGCATAGGGCTGTAGAAGCAAAGCCAAAATACCCAACCTAACATTTGCTACTTTCACACTCACTAGGAAGAAGGGGAAAGGGAAAGGGAAAGAAAAAAATGACATTATAAAGTGGCTCACACCTGTAATCTGAGCACTTTGTGAGGCTGAGGTTGGAGAATCTCTTGAGCCCGGGAGTTCAAGACCAGCCTGGGAAAAAGTAAAACGTTGCCTCTCCCCTGCTCCCCCCACCAAAAAATAGCCAGGTATGGTGGTGTGTACCTGTAGTCTCAGCTACTAGGGAAGCTGGGGTGGGAGGATCAGTTGAGCCAAAGATGTGGAGGATGTAGTAAGGCATAATCACACCACTGCATTCCAGCCTGGGTGACAGAGCAGAACTATGTCTAAAGGAGAGAGAGAGAAAGATTGAATTCTGCCCACATGAAAATAATTACAAAAATTAGAAGTGCCAGGATCTCCAGATAAGAAGGAACCAGGGCAAGAATTCTGGCACCATGAAAAATGAGAATGTAGTGACAACACTGAAGCATCACATTGACTCTCCACAATGGTCCCTAATGAAATTGGAAACTGAGAAATGACAGATAAAGAATTCAAAGCATAGATTGCAAGGAAGCTAAACAAGATCCAAGATAATGTTGAGAATCAACACAAAGAAACCTCTAAATCAATCCAGAAAATTAAGAAAGAGATATACATCTTAAAAAGAAATCAATCAGAGTTTCTGGAATTGAAAAAAAGTTACTTCAGGGATTTCAAAATATAATTGGAAGCTTTATCAAGACACTGGACCAAGAAAAAGAATTTTAGAACTTGAAGACCAGTCTTTTGAACTATTCCAGTCATACAAAAATGAACAAAGTCTTAAAGAAATATGGGATTGCATAAGCAACAAAACCTATGAATTCTTGGCATTTCTGAGAGAGAGAAAAAAGTAACAACCTGAATAACATATTGGAAGGAATAGCTCAAGAAAATCTCCCTAATCTTGCAAAAGAGTAGCTCAAGAAAATCTCCCTAATCTTGCAAAAGAGTAGACATCCACATACAAGAAATCCAGAGCACACCTGTTAGATGTTATGCAAAATAAACATGACCAAGGTATATAGTAGCCAGATATTCAAGGTCAATATTAATGAAAAAAATCTTAAAGGCAGCTAGAGAAAAAGATCAGATCACATAAAAAGGGAACTTCACAAAGCTAACAGCAGGCTCCTCAGCAGCAAACTTACAAGCTAGAAGAGGATAGGAGCCTATTTTAAGCATTCTCAAAGAAAAGAAATTCCAAAAAATAATTACATATCCCACAAAACTGAGCTGCATAAGGCAAAGGAGAAATAATTTTCCAGACAAGCCAACATTCAGGGAATTCATTACCACTAGATCAGCCTTAAAAGAGATTCTTAAGGGAGCTCTAAACATGGGAATGAAAGAATGATGACTGCTACCACAAAATCATACTTAATTTTAGAGCCCACAGACCGTAAAAAGCAACCACAAAGTAGAAACTACAAAGCAATCAGCTAACAACTTCAAAGTACAAAAACCTCATATTTCAATATTAACCTTGAATGTAAATTGTCCAAACACAGAGTTAAAAGGCACAGAGTTGCAAGTTGGATTAAACAAACAAACAAAAAAAACAAGACCCATCCATCTGCTGTCTTCAAGAGACCCTTCTCACAAGCAGCGACAACCATAGGCTCAAAGTAAAGGGTTGGAGAAAGATCTGTCAAGCAAAATGGAAAACAAATAAAGAGCAGTGGTCACTATTCTTACATCAGATAAAACAGACTTTAAACCAACAACAGTAAAAAAAGGACAAAGAAGTATTATTGTATAATAATAAAAGGTTGAATTCAACAGGAATCGTTAACTGTCTTCAATATATATGCACTCAACATTGGAGAACCGATTCATAAACCAATGACTTCTAGACTATGAAAAGACTTAGACAGCAACACAATAATACTGGTAGACTTCAATACTCTACTGGTTGCGTTAGACAGATCACTGAGACAGAAAGCTAAGAAAGAAATTCAGGACTTAAATTCCACTTGAACAATTGGACCTAATAGACATTTACACAATAATCCACCCATCAACCACAGAATAAACATTCTTCTCATTTGCACATGAAACATACTCCATGACTGACCACATGCTTAACCATAAAGCAAATCCTAATAAATTACAAAAAAATAAAATCATACAAACTATACTCTGAAACCACACTGGAATAAAAATACAAGTCAATACCAAGAAGATCTCTAAAAGCCACAAAATTATATGGAAATTGAACAATTTGCTTCTGAATGACTTTTGGGTAAGCAATAAAATTAAGGCAGAAATAAAATTATTTGAAATACATAAAAACAGAGAAACAACATGCCACAAGCTCTGGGATGCAGCAAAAGCAGTAAAGTTAATAGTGCTAAACACCTGCCTCAGAAAGTTAAAAAGATCTCAAATAAATGATCTAACATCACACCCAGAAAATCTAGAGAAATGAGAACAAATTAACCCAAAAGCTAGGAGAAGAAAAGAAATAACTAAAATCAGAGCATAACTGAATGAAATTGAGACCAAAAAAATTAATATAAAGCATCAATGAAACGAACAGTTAGATCTTCAAAAGGATAAACAAAACTGATAGACCATGAGCTAGATTAATAAAGAAGAGAAGAGAGTAGATCCAGATAAGGACAATCAGAAGTGACAAAGGTGACAAGACAACCCAATCCCACAGGAATCCAAAAGATTCTCAGAGACTTCTATGAACACCTCAATGCACACAAACTAGAAATTCTAGAGGAAATGGATACATTCCTGGAAATACACAATCTCCAAATATTGAATCAGGAAGAAATTGAAATCCTGAACAGACTAATATCTAGTTCCAAAATTTAATAAGTAATAAAAAACCTACCAACCAAAAACAAGAAAAAAGCAACAACAAATAAAACCTGGACAAGTTAGAATCACAGCTGAACAAAGAAGGGCTGATACCAATTCTATTGGAATTATTCTAAAAATTGAGGAGGAAGGACTATTCCCTAAGACATTCTATGAAGTCAGCATCACCCTGATACAAAAACCTGGCAAAGACACAATAAAAAAGAAAATTACAGACCAATATCCCTGATGAACATAGATGCAAAACTCCTCAACAAAATACAAAGTTCTTACCAGAGTAAATAGAGAAGAGAAAGAAATAAAAGGCATCCAGATAGAAAAAGAAGAAATGAAACTATCTCTCTTCACTATATATATAATTCTGTGCCTAGAAAACCCTAGAGATTCTGCCAAAAGACTCCTAGAACTGATAAACGACTTCAGTAAAGTTTCAGGATACAAACTCAATGTACAAAGATCACAAGGATATTTATACACCAATAATGTTCAAGCTGACAGCCAAATCAAGAACATAATCTCATTTACAATAGCCACACACAAAAAATAAAACACCTAGCAATACATATAACCAAAGAAGTGAAAGATCTCTACAAGAACTACAAAACACCCACATGAAAGAAATCAGAGATGACGTATATGGAAAAACATTCCATGTTCATGGAAGAATCAGTATCACTAAAATGGCAATACTGCCCAAAGTTCTCTACAGATTCAATGTTATTCCTATAAAACTGCTAACATCCTTTTCCACAGAATTAGGAAAGCTATTCTAAAATTCATATGGAACCAAAAAATCACTTGAATAGTCAAAGTAATCCTAAGCAAAAAGAGGAAAGCTGGAGCCATCACATTACCCAACTTGAAACTATACTGTAAGGCTACAGTAATCAAAACTGCATGATACTGGTACAAAAACAGACACATAGACTAAAGGAACAGAATAGAGAACCCAAAAATAAAGCCACACAACTACAGCCATCTTATCTTTGAAAAAGTCAAGAAAAATAAGGAATGGGGGAAATAGGTCCTATATAATAAATGCCATTGGGATAGCTTGCTATCTACATGCAGAAAAATGGAACTGGACCCCTATCTTTCACCGTACACAAAAATTAACTCAAGATAGATTAAAGATTTAAGCATAAAACTTCTATAAGAATCCTAGAGGAAAACCTAAGAAACACCATTCTGGATATCAACCTCGGGAAATAATTTATGACTTCATTCTCAAAAGCAATTGGAACAAAAATAAAAACTGACAAGTGATAGCTAATTAAACCAAAAAGCTTCTGCACAGCAAAATAAACTAGCAACAGATTAAACAAACAACCTACAGGATGGGAGAAAATATTCACAAACTATGCATCTGAAAAAGGTCTAATATCCAGCATCTATAAGGAACTTAAGTAATTTAAGAAGCAAACAACAACAACAACAACAACAACAAATAGCTCCATTAAAAAGTGGGCAAAAGATATAAACAGACACTCCTCAAAAGAAGACATACCAACAGTTAACAAGCTTATGAAAAAATGTTCAACATTACTAATCATCAGAAAAATACAAGTCAAAACCACAATGAGATGCCATCTCACATCAGTCAGAATGGCTATTACCAGAAAGTCAAAAAACAACGAGTGCTGAAGAGTCTGCAGAGAAAAGGGAATGCTGGTGGGAGTGTAAATTAGTTCAGCCACTGTGGAAAGCAGTCTGGAAATTCCTCAAAGAACTTAAAACAGAACTAACATCTGACCCAGCAATCCCATTACTGGGTATATATCCCCCAAAATAAATCATTCTACCAAAAAGACACACGTATGCCTGTGTTCATCGCAGGACTATTCACAATAGCAAACACATGGAATCAACCTAGGTGCCCATCTCAAATAAAAGTTGAAATGATTTTTTAAAAATAATTTGGTAAGGATTCTTTACTAAGAATTTATTGTGTAAGGGTTGAATGTAAAATGGAAAATTGGCCGGCTGCGGTGGCTCACGCCTGTAATCCCAGCACTTTGGGAGGCCGAGGCAGGTGGATCACGAGTTCAGGAGATCGAGACCATCCTGACCAACATGGTGAAACCCCGTCTCTACTAAAAATACAAAAATTAGCCTGGCATGGTTTCCTGCACCGGTAGTCCCAGCTACTCAAGGCGGCTGAGGCAGGAGAATTCCTTGAACCTGGGAGGCAGAGGTCGCAGTGAGCCAAGATCACGCCACTGCAATCCCCAGCCAGCCTGGGCAACAAAGCAAGACTCTGTCTCAAGGAAAAAAAAAAAAAGGAAAATTATTTTAATCACAATCTGGTGCTTAAATTACAAAGATCAATCTGAAATTGACAGAAACCAAGAGACTGTATAGTTCTTTGAACATTTGGGGAACCATGTAGACTAATTTTTCACAACACTGTCACCAAAACAAAGTTCAGCATGTCCATTAAACATCTGTGATTATCCAAATAGGTGAAGAAAATAGGATAACAGTTTTGAATAAGAAGGGAAAAAGTTGGTAGAGCAGAATAGAACCCTAAACCACAGTATAAGATGGAAATAGAAACAGATTTCGTTTCAGTAGACAAGGACACTGTTCAATAACAAGGTTGAGGTACTTGCCTATTAATTTCTTTAAAAATAAAAATATAATCCCTTTATCATCACACAGGGAAAATAAATTTCAGATTAAAGACGTACATAGAGCAAAACTCTATATACTGTAAGTATACTGGAATATCTTATCTGCCATTATGTTTATGAACCTAGAGTAGGGGAGGACTTCAGTTACAATACAGTGAGCGGAAAACAAGTACTCAAACAGACATTTGTATATGAATGTTCATGGCAGCAATATTCAAAATAGCCAGAAGGTGGAAATGAACCGAATTTCTATCAATAGATGAACAGATAAATAAAATGTGGTACACATAAACAATAGAAAATGAATTCAACCATAAGAGGATATGAAGTACCAATAAATGCTGCAATGTGGATGAACCTTGAAAACATTATGCTAAATGAAAGAAGCCATACACAAAAGGCAGGTATTGTATGATTCCATTTATATGAAATTCCTCTTCTTCTCCACACTTATTTACATGTAATGCAACTCAAATCAAACTTCCAGATTAATGATGTGATTATGTGTGTTTAGATTTTAAAAAATCATTGGTAATTCAGTGAAGGAAATATATTTTTAATGAAAGTAATGAGTAGTAGGAAAATTAGACACTTACCAACATTTTGGTATTCAGTATAAATAACTATAAATATTATAAATAGATACACAAGTCAATGAAAGAGCACAGAAAATCCAGTTATAACAATATAAGCAGTTTAAGCTAACAATTATTTAAAATGTGATAAAATGTGGTATTCAAAATTATTGAGGATTAGTTAACATAACATAAATAATGTTTTAAAGTATACTTTTGATGAATAGGGGGAAATGGGTCAAATTGTTAACTTTTTCTCTCAAAAGTTTTCTAGTAACTTTTAAGAGTTTAAGTACCAAAATAAAATCTATGAGAACCAAAAACAGTTTAGAAAAAAAATTATTTTATCTAAAAGAGGAAAGTTCTTTCTAGTTTGACACCAAAAGTAAGAACCATAAAGATACAGAACAATGAGAATAAAAAATATTGTGTTAGAACTTCTGTACTTCAAAATACCATTACATATTGAAACATACATTCAAAGAGTTACTAAATTTTATATGTGAAGAATTCTTTCAAATGAATAATAAAAACACCAATAAAAAAGTAAACAAAAGATATAACCTGACATTTATAAAAGAAACTCAAATAGCAAATGAACAGAAAAAATATTCAGCTCTATTTCAAAGCAAAAGTAAAAGAAAATCAAAATTAATATATGATGAATTATCTATCAAACTGGAAATATATGTTATGTTGGTATCAGAAAGAGTGACATCCTCAAAGTGTTTTGAACTGTTAGACTTTCTTAACATAAAAAAAATGGCAGTTCACATAAGAAACAAGAGTTGAATAGCACCTCAGGAACATATTTCTAAAAACTACATAAATATATATGATTATATATTCAATTTTACATATATTGCATATATATATGATATTACATATGCAAGGACTTTTCTTCAAGTATATTTAGCACACTCTAATTGATATTAACAAAATCTTGGAAACAAACTTAATGTCCAACATTTGGTAATTATTTAAGCATACTGTGGGATAGCCATATATTGCCATAATAAGCAGTTTAAGCTATTGAGTAAGAGCTTAAAATTAGGAAGTGTTTTTAATAGACTCTGAAATGGGTAGGGGAAGAGATTTCACAAGAGCGTGCACAATCTTTATAACAGAAACTGGTGTCATGATCTTCCAGATTTTTTTCCAGGATTCACTGAATATAAACTTCTCTTCTTTTTGAAGTAGCTTTATCACTTCTTTCTGCTATCTACCCCATTCCTCTAAGTCATTAATCTAGTGGGTTTTTAGAAACGGGATCTTCCTTTTTGTCTTTTCAGGCCTGTCTCTGGTCCTACCCTCCATGAGACATTTCATCTGTGCTCTGCCTGCAATTAGGTTAATAAATTTATGTATAAGATTAAATCATAAATAGTTCGATGCTGGTCAGAAGTCCAGCTACAGTCTACAAAGTTTTCAATAACAGACCTGATAACATAACTTTCATTTTTCAAATTCTTAGATTATTTCGCAATTTGTTCCAAACTCAAAGGGAGATAAGAATGTGATTGATTATTCACAAACATTGATAATATAAAGAATATATATATAAACCAAGAAGGTTAAAATAATTATAAATATTAATAGTTCTAGAGTGAGATTCTGAATGATTATATTTTCTTTTGTGATTTTTCTACATTCCACAAATTTTCTAATTATTATGTATTATGTGTATTAATTTATAAACAAATATTTTTAAAATAGAAGTAAATATTTATTAAATTTCTGAATAGAAGACTTTCTAACATTAAAAAAATGGGAAAGCAAGAAAGGAGAATATATATGCTTTTTAATTTTTATATATCCTTAAATATTCTGCGTGCTCAAAAATATAAGAATTAAAAGTCAAAATGAATTGGCAAAATGTTGTAATACAGGTCAGATTAGAGATTACATGTGTATTAAATGAAAATTCATTAACTCCTCAATATGTTAATTTAGTGTAATGGAACAAACTATCCTACAACAGAGGGTGCATGTGCAAGAAGTGGGCACACTTAGTATTAATCTCTGATATCTGAAGCATCTTAAAAGCACTATTAGGCAGGGGCCAGCCATGATATACTCATTGCCTTATATGTACAAACTTATCACAACTGTTTATATTGTTACCACTTTGAGTATAGGTACTATTTCTAGTTCATGTGTGGAATTTAATTAGTTTCACAGAGATTACATTCTGATTCTGCTTCAAAATGAAATGTCATTTTACACAGAAATGCTCAGAAACAAAACAGTCAGAGCATCAACTTGAAGTAAATACTTCAAGTTTCATACTTCATTGGAGGAATGAAATGCTCTGGTCCACACAGTCTCTCATCTTCCAGCAGGCTAGGCTGGGCTTGTTCACATGACAGGAGATGTTTAAAGTGACTAAAGAAACATGTCCAAGTTCTCTTGAGGACTAGGCTCCAAATTGGTACACTGCTACTTCTACCACATTTTTTTTAGTTCAAGCAAGTGACAAGGCCAATGCAGACACAAGGGGTGGTGAAGCAGGCCCCTTCCCTTGATAGAAGGGGCTGAAATGTCACACTGTAAGTAGTATGCATTTAGAAAGCAATGGAGAATTGGCTTTCTAATTGGCAATTAGAAAGCATGGTGGCTCATGCTTGTAATCCCAGCACTTTGGGAGGCTGAGGTGGGCAGATCACGAGGTCAGGAGTTCGAGACCAGCCTGGCCAACATAGTGAAACCCCGTCTCTACTAAAAATACAAAAATTAGCTGGGCGTGACGGCAGGCACCTGTAATCCCAGCTACTCAGGAGGCTGAGGCAGGAGAATCGCTTGAAGCCAGGAGGCAGAGTTTGTAGTGAGCCGAGATTGCACCACTGCACTCCAGCCTCGGCTACAGAGCTAGACTCCATCTTGGAAAAAAAAAAAAAAAAGAAAGAAAGAAAGAAAAAAGAAAACAATGGAGAATTAAGGCTACTTTTGCAAGAAATCTACTTAGTATCACGTACCACTATTACAAGAAAAATACTGGCAAATCACCCAAATAATTGAAAGCCATCTCAAAGCCCTGAGAATTTGGAGTGACTAAGTCATGTGATTCATGTATTGAACAGTCATGTGATCATTAAGTCATCAAACATTGATTTGTGAGAAACTTCTAAATTTGAACAGGAGCTGCATAACTTCTTCCAGTGGCATGTGATTCAACTGATGCAAATATGAGGCTGAAGTCTTATCAAATAAAAAAATTCTGCTAGAATCGACATGACTCAAAATTATGCTATCAATAATAAAGCTTCTAAAGGATTCAGATCATGAGAACAGGTTGCATGTTTTCTATTTCAAGTCAATAAGAGCTATTTCGATCAATATACAAATTTAAGTGATAAGAAAGCAATTTTTTCTGACTTAATTGGTATGGTTTTTTTTAGTAGTGCATAAAATTATCTTTCAATAAAAGATAAACTTCCTTGGGCATAAAACAGACTAACATCGTTTACATGTTTTAGCTGCTACTAATTATCATTATGGATATACTTATCACATATTCAAACCATAATAAGGGCTTTTAGTTGTAAGTATGAAATTAGATAGCCTACAGTCACATGACTATTTCATCTTAGACCATGAGTTCCTTAAGTTTACTGAATGTGAGAATCACCTGAAGAGCTTCTCTGGCATTAGGTTTTAGGATATGGGCACAGGGAGTAGAGTCTGGAATTCTACATTTAGAACAAGTTATCCAAATAGTGCTCGTGCATTAGTAACCACACTTGGGAAAATTTGTCCTAGATATTTTTTCTGTTAAATTTGCTCTTAAAGTAGGTAGGATATAATGCTTTAATTACAACCATTTGATAATAAGAGTGACAAACACTATTAATAGAAGGATTTCAATTCCTTCTACTCATTATCTTTTTTTAAAAAAAAAAGCATTTTAAAAATGTAAAAATACTATGAGGAAAAATATGCATGAACCTTAGACTTATTTTTCTATTTTTAGGAGGAATAGGGTTAAGGAAAGGTAAAAAGAAGTGCTTCAATTGTATGTTTTATTTCTTTTAAAAATTCTGTAGCAGACATTACAAAGTGTGTCAGCCTGGTGTGCAACTTCAGGGGAGCCACCTCATGGTAGTCTGTACAAATACCACCCTCACAAGTAAATATACCATGACCTATACAGTCATATGCAGAAACCCTAGAAAATGCTCTCTTTTCTGAAGATACCTGTGGTGTATGCAATGGTTTATATCATTCTCTAGATTTTTTAAATCTTACCTAATTTTTAAAAATTAGCAGGAACTACAGATTAGATCTTAAGTATTCTCACTACACACAAACACACAAGTGTTAATGATGTGAGGTGATAGATATGTTCATTAACCTGATTAATCACTTCACGACACACACATATATCACAACATTATGTTTTACACTTTAAATATATATAATTTGTATTTGTCTCACATCACAATAAAGCAGAAAAAAATTAGCCGTTACCAAAAACTCGTATTTATTAGGTAGAAATATAAGAAATAGCTAAGAATTAATCATTTAGGACTTACGACAGCATTTTTTATGCTGTTGTATATTCAACACAGTATATAATACAATGACAGAAAATTCACTCTAGCCAGTTAAGTTTCCTGATATTCCATATAATCAATATCTTCCTAATCTGAAACTTGAAACAAAACAAAAAAATTTTGCTCAAGAATCATCTAGTTGTATCTTATCTTCAACCTTGCACTTAACCTAATATCTAAACAAACATTATAATTGAAAACAAATACATTATTCAATTTGCATTCAGCACTGAAGACACATTTTTTTTACACAGAAAGCTGACAAGTATTGTTTGCCAGGAAATTGTGGGCCAGTATCTCAATGTTTTAGGCTTTATTGTTGTCCTTTAATTTCTTGCATATGTGCTATAGAGAACAGACGGTCAGCGTTTCTTAATGTCTGTGTATTATATTGTTAATGCTTTTGAGTTCTGATTATTTACACATTACAACTCTGTTTTTATATTATTTCCTCACTGTATGTCCTTTTAATATTTTCTTCTATATTTTCCCCCATTTGCTCCTTTTCCTAGCGCCTAGGAACTATGGCCTCTAGTCTCAGAGCACCCACTATAGCAATGTTTTGGAGGAGAACCTGATACTAGATAAAGTTTAGATTCTGGCTGGCCTGAGGCAGAACTGCTAGCTTCAGAGCCATTTCCAAAATGAAAAGTTATGCTGAAACAACAAATATTGAAGAAGGTTTAGACTGAGTCCCAAGATAATAGGAAAAAGCAAAAAGGAGAATCAAGGAATTCAATCCACCAGCGTGGAAATAACTAAACAGTTATTTTAAAATGGGGTAAATAAATCAAGCATGCGTGAGGGCAAAACATAGAGGAAAGAGATAGGGGAGAGTTAAGGAACTCATCCCAGTAGGATGAAAATCTTGAAGCAGTTATTTTTAAATGAGTTGAATAAAGTAGACATTGATGGGGTGAAAACAAAGATCTTAATGCAGCACACTCAGGGGTTGGATTGACCAGTAAGAGCCCCTGTTGGCCCCCACGCTCAGACCAACCACGCTCAGAGGATAGATTGACAAGTGGGAGCCCCTGTTGGTCCACCAAAAAAAAACCTTTTATTCACCTAGTTTGGATGAATTTAAGAAACAAGGACTTTGAATTATCTAGGTGATGATCCCAGAAGAAATCTCATCACTGCAAAGATTGAGTCCCCTACTGGAGACTCAACGCTTTGTGTAGATGAGTGGGTAAAATGCTGAGGGTATAGAGAAAACATGTTTCTGGGACTACTTGACATGGGACCCCCATGCACTGAGATACTAAACCCATTGTTGAAGCACTACCAGGGGCTACAATTGAATTTAGAGGATATAGAAATGCAAGGGTTGAGATATTATGGAGAAAAATTGGATGAATATTGGAATATTTGAGCAGACTTTATGTGAAGTGGTAGCATCTCCTCTACCTGAATATATCATAAGCTTGGGGTGATTACAGAAATAAATATATTATATCTGACAGGGGAACATGTTCCATACCCAGTATCACAAAACAGAATGCACATAAATTCACCCTTCAGGCCATATTAATTGAATATACAGTTATGGGTCACATAACAATGTTTCAGGTAACAATGGACTACCTATATGGCAATAGTCCCATAAGATTTTAGTGAAGCTGAAAAATTCTTATTTCCTAGGATTTACTATAATATACATTTTATCATTATTTTAGAGTATACTTCTTCTACTTATTAAAAAAAAGTAAACTTTCTAACAGCCTCAGGCAGGCTCTTCAGGAGGTATTTTAGAAGAAGGCATTGTTATCATAGGAGATGAGAGCTCCATGTGTGTTACTGCCTCTGAAGACCTTCCAGTGGGACAAGATGTGGAGATGGAAGACAGTGATATCAATGATCCTGACCCTCTGTAGGCCGAGGCTACATGTCTAACTTGTAACAACAACAAAAAAGTGTAAAAAGTAAAAATAAATAAAAATGTAAAAATAGAGAAAAGTTTATAGAATAAAACATAAAGAATATAACTTTTACAGTAGTACAATATGTTTTAAGCTGTTACAAGAGTCATAAAATTCGAAAAATTTAAATTTATTAAGCTAAAAAGTTATAGTAATCTAAGGTTAATGTATTATTGAACAATTAAAATATTTTAAAATAAATTTAGTGTTGCCTACGTATACAGTGTTTATAAAGTCTATAGCAGTGTATGGTAATGTCCTAGGCCTTCCCATCCACTCATTACTCACTCACTAACTCATCCAGAGCACCTCCTTGTCCTGCAAACTCCATTCATGCCACCAAGTGCCCTATACAGTTGTACCATTTTTTATCTTTTATACCACATTTTTATTGGAACTTTTTATGTTTAGATGTAATTAGATACACAAATTATTAGCATTGTATTACAGTTGCCT
This sequence comes from Homo sapiens, assembly GCF_000001405.40. Lineage (NCBI taxonomy): Eukaryota > Metazoa > Chordata > Mammalia > Primates > Hominidae > Homo > Homo sapiens. The sequence continues at coordinate 119,929,148 of NC_000006.12, read as the reverse complement.
GCAGTATTCAATAGAGTAACATGCTGTACATGGTCACAACCTTGGAACAATACACTAGACCATATAGCCTAGGTGTGTAGTAGGCTATATCATCTAGTTTTGTGTGAGTACACTCTAAGATGTTTAAATAAGGATAAAATCGCCCAACAAAACATTTTCAAAATATATTTCTGCCTTTGAGTGATGCATGGCTGTACTAAATAAGAGCCAATAAGATTTTCAGAGCCCATACAAGTCATTAATTTTAAACAGCATAGAATAGAAGTTGGAATGCTGATACCAGCAAATTATCTGTACAGTAGTCTAAGGAAAACATAGATGGTGACTACTGCAAAATCCTATTAGCAGCACCTAGCCACAACTACTGGAATTTCAGGCCAGAAAATGTCAATGTAAGAGGCAATTAGTGGCTAAATATTGGCCTTTGATTGACACTGCCCTGTAGATGAAAGGCAAAAAATAATTTTGAAGACTGAATGCCTAAAATATATTGAGTGGTGTCAGATAAATGTTCTAATAAGAAGGGCAAATTCCAGAAGAGTTCTAAAAGACAAATGAAATGAATTATATAAGAAAATGCTACTAGAACAACACAAGAAGGTACTAACAAGCAGAGAGCGTCTTTTTTCCTAAGACTGTGGAACCCACCTGAATGGTAACCAGATCCTATTGCTACTTGACTGGTGACCACAAATAGCTCTTGGCTGACCAAAAAAGGAACTTCTTGGTTTAGAGATGGCAGTCTCAAGGTAAATGGACAACATCCTGTTTGGAAGGTTATAATTCTGACAGAAGAAGGTAGAAAAAATAAGCTTGATGGGATGAATTGAGTGGTTTGCCCCCTACATTTTTGTTTTGTCCAAAGTCTGGCCATAGGGTCAGGTAACAGGCCAATGAAAAAATAGCCTATTAAAGTGATACCAATATGGTGCATGGCCCTGTAGACATCACTATGTAATTTGAGGTGTTCATTACATTAAGCCATGTTGATGCCCATCAAAGGAGCCCCCTTCCAGAATGGAAAGGTGGTCAGAAATGATTAACAGATTTCCTGTTGTGCTTGACTGAGGTGGCCACCTGGGTCCATGAAATGAGGGGGAATAATGGAGGTACCACAACAACGCAGAGATGGACTGAATCTAGACATATTCTTTTTGTAGAATTTGCATTAGAATTGCACTCTAATGCGTAAAATGCCAAGAATAACTGTTCTGTTTAGCAACGAGTGATACAGAGACTGCAGATGGCTATGGGGAAGACTCCCTGGGAGGAATAAGGCCTTGCAATTAACTGGAAAGTTAGACTGATATCATTAGCTCCATGAGGCTACAAATGTGTCCTAATAAGAAGAAACACTTACTCTGGACTAAGATTTGCTTACCTGCTAGTAGATGCAAATATTGAGAGTACTACAAAAGAGCCAGAACAGAAGATATTGCACCAGTTTGGACCACCAAGTCACATTTTTACAGACTACAAAATACACTTTACATTGGCAACAATAATGGGCAGAGAAATGACATCCTTGGAAGAATGGTTTGACAGTGAATTAGAAAGAGCAATTGAAACATGGGTTGTTTCAGGAATGAAGGACTGGTTTACACATCTTCACTAATGTGTGCTTACATTCAACATGGGGAGGGAAGCAAGGGAGGGACCCCATTGGACAGATTCTTCCACTTTTATGTTGGACCCAAGGAACAGGGGGCAAGGGAGAATGCTGACATAACTATAAAATTTTCCCCATATCACCTCAACTTTTTAAATCTCCATATTACCTTATTTTTTTAACCTAATGCAGTGGTCCCAAAGCTTAAACTTCAATGGTAAGTGCCAGAGCTGGAATGATCCTTGCTGGAAGCAAGAAAGTGCAAATATAGCTTTAAACCTTAGTGTCACAGTTCCCAAGGTCCTGATGGGGTGAACCGTACTCACCCCATCTGGAAAAACTAGAGTTGATGGTGAACACAGCTGTATGTCTTAGTGGGTAAGATAGCCCACATATTCTGTACCCAGTCTGCCCTATATGGATGGGAGTGGGCTGACAGAGAGGCACTTACTACACTAGTATTGCTGCCTGCAGTCCAGCACAGTAGCTGATCCTAATGTACCTTCCAATAGGGTAAAATCTGACTTTAAGAGAAGGAGGAATAGTAGTTGAAGGTACATAAATGAACAAATGGATTATGCAATGAAGGAAACTCAATATAACATTAATGCCTTGAAAGAGACTCAGAGTAAGACATGATATGGTCTCTTAGCTCAATTATACCAGAAGCCTGAAAAGGTGAAGCCATATATTGCTGAGACCATTCCTGTTTTGAGAATTTGACAGTATCAAATGGAGGCCTGCAAACTGTAGTGGCCTTATTCTGGGAAATATTTTGGTCATATGATATGATGATGAACTAGACTAATTGCTAAAGACAGAACAGGACCCTACTTAAATGTCAACATCTTCTCAGATTACATCCACCATCCTATGACTTTGGATAACACTGCCGTTGTTAATAAAATTATAGTGCTGATATTGATGGTCCAGTTTAGACTATGGGTATAACATAAATAAAATAAATAAAAATAAAGCAGAGAAGGTAGGCAGTGCTGGTGCTGAGGAAGTACATAAGCATAATGATAAATAAAGTTGTCAGGAAAGGCCACATCAAGAATGTAACTTTGATATAAGAAACTAAAGAAAAAAGAGAAGGAGTTGTGCAGATGTCTTTGAGAAGACCATTTCAAGCCCAGAGTAAAGCAAGTGCACAGGTCCTGAGGTAGGAGCTTGACCTAGGCAGTTCAAGGACAGGGAGCCTGGGGAAGAGTTGTAGGAGATAAAAACAGAGAAAAGAAGAATGAAAAAATTCAAACTGTGTGTGATAATAGGCTGCTGTAATACTCTTGGCTTTTTCTCAGTATGAGAAGGGATTTGAACATGAAAGTGACAGGCTCTCACATCTCTTTAAAACATAATTTTGTTTGCCATCACCAAGAGTAAGAATGGAGGCTAGTTAGGGAGGTATTGCAATAATTCAAATGAGAAATATTGGTATTAGACTAGGGTTTGATAGCAAAGAAGTCTGTCATGAGTGGTTATACGGCAAAGGTGAACTGCCAAGATTTGCTGACAGAGATGATGTAGATGCAGGGAACAGAAAGAGGTCAAGGATGACTCTAAGGTATTTGGCCTAAGGAACTAGAAGGATGAAATTGCCAATCCCGAGGTGGTAGAGAACAGTCCTGTAGGAGAAGAAAAATTAGGGGATGGCAGTCTGGGCCCAGTTTTGGATGTATTAGATTTAAGAAACTTTTAAAGATATCCAAGTAGAGATGTTATTTAAGGAGTTGAATACATGAGACTGGGGTCAGGAAATAAATTCAGGCTTGAAAATGAAATGTGGGTGTATTCAGCATTGTTGCAGGAAGTCGGGGACCCTGATCCGAGAGACCGGCTGGAGCCGCGGCAGAGGAACATAAATTGTGAAGATTGCATGGATATTTATCAGTTTCCAAATAATACTTTTATAATTTCTTACACCTGCCTTTACTTCAATCTCTGAATATAAATTGTGAAGATTTCATTTTAATATGGACATTTATCAGTTCCCAAAATTAATACTTTTATAATTTCTTATGCCTGTCTTTAATCTCTTAATCCTGTTATCTTCCTAAACTGAGGAGGTATATCACCTCAGGACCACTATTGTGTTAACTGTACAAACTGATTATAAAACATGTGCATTTGAACAATATGAAATCAGTGCACCTTGAAAAAGAACAAAATAACAGCATTTTCAGGGAACAAGGGAAGACAACCATAAGGTCTGACTGCCTGTGGGGTTGAGCAAACTAGACCCATGTTTTTCTTCTTTCAGAGATCCTATAAATGGATGTGCAAGTATGAAAGATATTGCTAAATTCTTTTCCCAGCAAGGAATATTAATAATTAATACCCTGGGGAAGGAATCCATTCCTGGGGGGAGGTCTATAAATGGCCGCTCTGGGAGTGTCTGTCTTATGTGGTTGAGATAAGGACTGAAATACACCCTGGTCTCCCGCAGTACCCTCAGGCTTACTAGGATTGGGAAATTCCACCCTCGCAAATTTGAGGTCAGACCAGTTCTCTGCTCTTGAATCCTGTTTTCTGTTGTTTAAGATGTTTATCAAGACAATACCTGCACTGCTGAACATAGACCCTTATCAGTAACTCTTCTTTTGCCCTTTGCCTTGTGATCTTTGCTTTTGCCCTTTGCCTTGTGATCTTTGTTCTCCTTTTTGCCCTTTGAAGCATGTGATCTTGTGACCTCCACCCTCTTCTTGCACCCCCTCCCCTTTTGAAACCCTTAATAAAAACTGTTGGTTTTGTGGCTCAGGGGGGCATCACGGTCCTACCGATATGTGATGTCACCCCCAGAGGCCCAGGTGTAAAATTCCTCTCTTTGTACTCTTTCTCTTTATTTCTCAGCTGGCTGACACTTGTGGAAAATAGAAAGAACCTACATTGAAATATTGGGGGCTGGTTCCCCTGATACAGCATAGAGTTAATTTATAAGCAATGGAACTGGAAGAGATCACCAACAGACTTAGCGTAAATAGAAAAGAGATCCAGGGAGTGATGTCACCAAAATAGCAGAATAAAAGGTGACCCATTCATATCCCCCATGACAAGAATTCTGCATCCATCTGCAGTCAAAATTCTCTCTTTAGGAGCCTTCAGTGTATTGCTGGGAGAAGTGCACTCCTCTTAGCCAATGATCAAGTTCTTCGGCCTCCATTCTACAGCAGATCTCAAGGGAGACCAGCCCCAGTTCTGGTACGTCCTGCTGAAATCAGGGAACTATTCTGGCTCTGCAGGATCTTGTGGGGAGATGTAAAACCCTCTGAGCCAACAAGACCAGGCTTTCCAGACTCAGCCCCACAGTGGATCTTGGGGGTGCAAGTCTCAGCTCCAACCCTTCCCACTACAGTTGGGAAGCTTTCCCATTTGTGCTGAGACCTGCTGGGAGACACATGCCAGCCTGAGCTAACAAGAACAATCTATCCAGCTTCTTTCCCTCAACAAATCCTGAGTGGGCCTGTCTCAGCTCTGGACTCTCCTGCCACAGTTAAGGAACTATCTTATCTGTCCAAGAACATACACCTCTGGACTAAGATCAAGCTCTCCAGCCTCTGTCTCACAGCAGATTCTAGGGGAGTCCAGTCTCAACTTTAGCCACTACTGCTGCAGTTGGGGAACTAACATGTCTGTGTGGAAGTCTGTTGGAAGACACAAGCCCATCTGAAACAATGTGACAGGTCCACCAACCTCCATCCCACAGAATATCCCAATGTAGCTCAGTAACAGCTCTCGTCCCTTTTCTACAGTTTGTAACTATCCTATCTGTGCAGGAACTTTCAGGACAACATGAAATTCACTGAGCTAAGACCAGGCTCTCCAGCCTCTTTCCCACCACATATCCCAAGGGGGCCCAGTCTTAGCTCTAGCCCCTCTCACTGCTGTTGGGAACCCATCCTATCTGTGCAGAGACATTCTGTGAGGCATGTCTATGTGGACCATCAGGATAGATTTCTGAGCTGAAGTTTCTGGCCAGCATTCCCACATAGTACCCTCCTTGGGTTTTCCCCATGTTCATGAAGACAAGGAAGCCATTACAACCTTGGTATCTTCATGAGACTCACAGCAAGCCTGATTAGAACATCCTCTAGTGCTAATATGGCTGCAGTGGTCACCGGCTCAGGGAACACAATGGTCAGTTGCTTTAGAATCTCTGGGAAACCCTTTGAAGAAGAAAAAGTAAAAACAAAGCCAGACTCTGAAGACCAAAATAAATACCTAATCCTTCAATGAGTGGACATTGTTGCACTTTCACAAGCATCAGGAAGATCAGAAATACAACCTCTTCAAGCAAACAAAATAAGATACCAGAGATCAACCCTAAAGTAATGGAGATGTATAATCTCTTAGAAAAATAATTAAAAATATGTGTCTTAAGGAAGCCGAGCAAACTTCAAGAGAGCACAGAGAACCAATTCAAACATTTAACAGAGAAATTTAGCAGAGATAAATGATTTTTAAAAAATAAAACAGAAATTCTGGAGCAGAAAAATACCGTAAATGAAATGAAAAATACAATAGAGATCATCAATGGCAGAATAAATCAAATAGAAGAAAGAATCAGTGAGTTTAAAGGAGACTATTTGAAAATACAGACAGAAGAGAAAAAGTTTTTTTTAAAAAAGAATGCAAAGGAATAAGCAAAGTTTATGGGATCTATGAAACCCTATATGGCTAATATTTGGGTTATTGGAGTTAAAGAAAAAACTGAGTGAGGCAAAAGAGTACAAAGCTTATCCAAAGAAATAATAACCAAAATCTTTCTAAACCTGGAGAGAGATATAGATAATCTTTCCAGGTACAGGAAGTTAAAAGATCACCAATTATATTCAACCCAAATAAAAACATTTAATATTCTTATTAAATATTATAATCAAACTCTCAATGGTCAAAGATAAAGACAGGCTATAGAAAGAAGCAAGAGGAAAGAATTAAATAATATATAAGAAAGAGCAAATACAGCTGGAAGCAGACTTCTCAGCAGAAATCTTACAGGCCAAGAGGGAGTGAGATGATTTACAAAGATTAATGAAGGGAAGAAAATGCCAACCAAGAATAATGGGCTACTCAGAAAAGCTATTCTTCAGAAATGAAGGAGAGAAAAAAACACTCTCCAAGTCAAACAAAAGCTGAGGAAATTTATCACAGCCAGACCTGTCATACAGTAAATGCTAAAGGGAGTTCTTCCAACTGAAAGAAAAAATTACTAACATGATTATCATATGAATATTGTAATCATGGTGTTTCAATCACCTATAAGTTTAGTAAGAAGACTAAAAGACAAAACTATTAGCAATACTAAAAACTAAAACAATTTGATAAGAGATAGGCAATTTAAAAAATGAAAATCATGACATCAAAAATTCAAAATGTGAAGGAAGAAGGGAATTAATTTGTACAAAATTTTGGGGGAGAGGTTATTTGTTTCATTTTTATGCAATAAAAGTTAAGTTTGCTTCAGTTTTAAATGTGTTTTATAACTATATGATGTTTTTTAAGCTCATAGTAACCACAAAGCACAAACCAAGAATAGATACTCTAGAAATACAAATGAAGGAGTTAAAATATACCACCAAGAAAATATCTTAATCCCAGATGAAGACAGTAAGATAGGAAGAAAAGAAGTGAGAAGTTACAAAACAACTAGAAAACAAGTAATAAAATGGCAGTATAAGTCTTTACCTATCAATAATAACACTACATGTAAATGGGCTAAATCTCCACTTGAAAGACAGTGTGGCTAAATAAATAAAAAAGGGACTCACATGTATGCTGCCTACAAGAAACTTACTTTACTTATAAAGTCACACATAAACTGAAAGGGATGGAAAAAGATATTCCATGCAGAGAAACCAAGAAAACAAAATAAACAATAGTAGTTATACTTCTATTAGATAAAATGAATTTTTGGTTAGAAAATGTAAAAGGAGACAAATAAGGTTATTATCTATAATGATGAATGGGTCAATGAGGAAAGACATATAGCAATAGTAAATCTATATGTACCTAACACTGAGGCATTCAAATATATAAAACAAATATGAATAGATCTAAAGAGAGAGCAGGGCTGCAATATAAGAATAGTAGAGGACTTCAATAACTCACTTTCAGCAATCGACAGAACATCCAGGTAGAAAATCAACAAAGAAATAGTGGAGTTAAACTACACTCTAGACAAAATGGACCTAACAGATATTTACAGATTTCATCTAACTGCTGAAGAATAAACATTTATTGTTAGTACATGGAATATTCTTCAGAATAGGCCATAAATGAGGCCACAAAACATGTCTCAACAAATTTTTAAAAGTCAAAACTATATTAAGTATTATTTCTGACCATAATGAAATAATACTAAAAATAAGTAAGAAAATAAACTTTGGAAATTGTACAAATACATGGAAATTAAACAACATGCTGCCGAATGACCAATGGATCAATGAAATAATTAAGAAGAAAATGGAAAATGTCTTGAAACCAATAAAAATGGAAACACACCATAGCAGAATTTATGGCATACAGCAAAAGCAGTACTAAAAGAGAAGTTTATAACAATAAATGCCTACAGTAAAAAAATAGAAACACTCCAAATAAAAACTGAATGATGAACCTAAAGGAACTACAAAAACAAGAACAGACTAAACCCAAACCTAATACAAGGAAAGAAATAATAAAAGGCAGAGAAGAAATTGAAACAAAAAAATACAAAACATCAACAAAAAAAATTTGCTTTTTAAAAAACACAAAATTGACAAACCTTTAGCTACACTAAGAAAAAAAGAGAGAATACCCATATAAATAAAATCAGAGCTAAAAAGAAAACATTACAGCTGATATCACGGAAGTACAAAATATTGTAGAGAATATTATGAACCACTGTGCACCAATAAATTTAAAAATCTAGAAGAAATGGTTACATTCCTGGACATTTACAACCTACCAAGATTGAACCATGAAGAAATAGAAAACTTGAACAAATCAGTAATAAGTAGTGAGATTGAAGCAATAATAAAATGTCTCCCACTAAAGAGAAGCCCAGGACTTGATGGATTCACTGCTGAATTCTATTAAACATTTAAAGAATGAATGTCAATTATAATCGAACTCTTCAAAAGGAAATTGAAGAGGAAGGAATACTTCCAAACTCATTCTATAAGGCCAGCATTACCCTGATAGCAATACCAAAGACACAGAAAAAGAAAACTACTAGCTTACATGCCTGATGAACATAAATGCAAAAATACCCAACAAAATACTAGAAAATACAACTCAAAAACACTTTAAAAAGATAATTCACCAAGATCATGTGGGATTCATCACAGAAATGCAAGGATGGTTCAAAATACCCAATAAACATGATACATCACATCAACATAATCAAGGACAAACACCATACAATCATTCAAATAGATGCTGAAAAAGCATTTAATAAAATTCAACACTGTTTTATAATAAACACCCTCAACAAATTGAGCATTAAAAAAACCAGATACAAGCCAAATATATCAAGATTGCAACTAATATCATACTGAATGGGGAGAAATGGAAAGTCTTCTTACCAAGATCTGGAATAAGACAAGGATGTCAACATTTACCACTTTATTCAATACAGCATCGTAGTTCCTAGCAAGAGCAATTAGACAAGAGAATCTAACTTGGAAAGAGGGGAGAGGGAGGGAAGCAGACCAGGGCTGAAAAACTGCCTATCAGGTATTATCCTCACTACCTGGGTAATGGGATCATTCATATCCCAAATCTCGGCATCACTCAATATCCCCATGTAACAAACCTGCACGTGTACTCACTGTATCTAAAGTAAAGGTTGATTTTAAAAAATGTTTAAATTAAAGACTAAAACTTGAAAATGCCAAGCATTACTATAAAACTGATAGCTTCAAAGCAATTTTCAAAAGCTTAACTTTATGTGCTAATTATTCATTTAAATATTTGACAAAAATTCTCAAATACTGTTCAGATGTTCAGCATCATGCAAACAGAGCCATGATTAATACATCTCTATTTGAAATTTATTTTTTCTCTTTCTTGAGTTACTATTTTTTATTCAATTTCCTTTGAATATATTTAATTTTTTTATATTCTGGTTACATTTCTCCAGTGTTCTGATATCATTATTCTCTTTGAAAATTTTACTTTAAAAACTATTTTTAAGATGACTTTTTAGAGTCTTAAATGGAGACTTTGAGACAAGTACAGGAGAATTTTTTTGATTTTACCATTTTATTACCTCCTGAAACTTTGCTG